>NC_000006.12:9605454-9756969 GCF_000001405.40 Homo sapiens
AAAAAATCACTTCTTTTGACACATGCAAATGGGAATAATTATATTGTCAACTAATTTTTAAAGGGAGCTAAATGCCTGTGTATATATGTAAACGATTAGTAAATACGTCTAAGACTTTTCATAAAGGTGTGACAGAAAATTGTCTTACAAGTGTCATTATATTCTAATACTAGTCTGATAATGGAATTCTACTTTGCTTTTGTATTCTTTTTTTTACATGTTGCTTATAATAAGGTCTAAGTTTCAGATACAGCAAAATGCTGATCTTTTACAATTTAGTTAAAATAGCCCATCAACCATTCTTAGTGAAAGGAAGAGGCAAAATAGTATCAGGACCTTATTTTTAAAAAAAATAGAAGTAGCAACTATGAAGTTTGAATTTGAAAACCAGAAATAAAGCATATTAGTATGCTTAACATTTTTTGCAATATTTTATGCAAATCCATAATCATTGTTATTACTGTTTTTTTATCTTAATGTGCATTTTTGATATTATCATGTGAGCAAATGTACCCAAAGGACATACTGAATCTTCCTTTGCAGGTGTTGTGCACAAAACATCAAGTATTCTAGATTTGGTGAATGAAAATGTGCCTTTCTTCTATTTTGTATAAATAAATTCATTCCACTATTAAATCCAGAGCAGCCTAAAACTATGCACAGTGGGAAACACAAGGATGGCTTTTTTCTTTCCCATGTGCAATGACTTTGAACAAAAGGAAAAATTGATGGGGTCATTTTCTCCCTAAAAACATATCGTTAACAATTTAAATTAATTAGATGAATGTTGTCCATAGGCCCCATTTTTTCTGGATTTTTCTATTGATTTCCCTTCTATCTTATTGCACAACTTCTTCCTCTCTCTTAATCTTACTCTTTCTCTCTCACGCACACATATGCACTGCAAATTGGTCACTGTAAAATATAGATATGGGAAGTTCCAAATACACTGAATTATCTCTTCTGTAAGAAACCAAATAGAAGAGTGAAAGCTAAAACATTCTCAGTTATTCGTCATGAAGTCTTGCCCTGCAATTCATCGATTCAAGGACAAAGTGTGGTTTCCGTTTCTCCATTTATTCAAAGCTTCATGCAGCCTTGCAGGATAGTCAGTTTCATCTGCTATCTTGAGAGAAATAAAGTTAAGGTCCAGTCTCTCTACACCTGCTCTTTGCACTGTGTGGTCACTTGATTGCATGGGCAGTAGGAAAATCCAGAGCTGAGTAAAACCCATCCAAGAATAAAATTGTGTTTCAGTTTTTTCTTTTCTCCTTTCTTCTCCTGCTGCTTTCTATCAGCCAAGCACTTAACAATCACTAACTGGTTAATCTGTTATTTAGGCAAGTATTAATATTCTAATTTTGCAGACAAGGAATGAGGCTTCCTGCTGTGTATCCCCTGGCCCTGGGTAAGGAGTGCTTCAAATGGGAGATTCAAAGTAGGTGAGCCTGGTCTCCTGAGACGCAGCTGCTTGCCTAAAGCCGCGCAGGAGGGCTTCGCAGAGCCTGCGTTAGATCGCTCGGTTCCTGACTCCCAGTTCTCCGCTCAGACCACCAGGCGACACTGCCTCTAATGACAAAAACCGTTTTCCCATTCCACCCCAACTAATGCTCCAAGGACTTTCTTAATTGCGACTGATACCCTGGGATTGGGAAGCTTATTTGTGACTTGATGAATCTGCACCAATCTTGCCTGGGTTTCTAGGTTTTGTAGCACTAAAAACTTTAGGATAACTTTGTTCTTACAAAATACCTCAAGATAACACTACCTATGGAACAAAGAGACAAAGCATTGCTCTGTGGAGAGGAGTTGGAATCCATGGAGCCCAGAAAGGCTGATAAAAATAGAATTAAAGAGAGCGCTCACAGCTTGGCCGTCCAACGACCATCTCTGACAAACAGTGGAGGAGATATTTTACAAAGCAAAATATGTAGAACACGGTAAGAGCTGTATCTTCTTGGGTCACAAGCCTGGATGAAAAACATTATGAACACATATCTATAGGAAATATTGCTTGTAATGTAATTTCTGTTTCAGACACACGAAATCTGACCTCTTTCGTGCAGGAATTATTCTTTTCCAAAAGCATAGCTGTCTACGCAAAGTAAACTTGAAAATAATTTTCTTCAAATCCACAATGCTAGGTGTTTACTGAGAAAAAAAAAAGAAAATGTGAATATATGACCTATATTTCATATCAGAATTAGGAGAGGCTTAAAAATCACTCTAGTTCCAAGTTGGAGCTGTGTTAAATGCAAAAGGAACTTAGAGAACTAGGTACCCTATTTAAAAACCACCATAAAGCCTTCCAGAATAGAGTTCAGGTTATAAGGGTGAAGCAAAACCTCATTCATTTTTGTTTCACATTTGTTGCCATATCTAATTTGTAAAGAAACTAGGCCCAGACACAGCTACCTATTTCTTCCATCATCAGAATATCCTACTAAAATATGGCATCAGTCTTACAGGTATTTTTAAATGAGTCTAAGTCATTTCCGAATTCTAGGTTCTTTAATTCACTGCAGCATTGATGGTAAATATCTTCTGGTGTCTGTCATGTAGCATAAATTGGAATCCAGAAATTCAACGCAATTCAATAGATATCTTTGAGCACCAACTACATACAAAGTACAGAGAAGGGAAATTCAATGATTGAAGTTAACTTCTGGGCAAGTAGGTGACTGCTTATAAACCATCATTTTAAAAAATTAAGGGATATTTCTTTAATCCAGAAAATATAATCTACCCATGTGCTGGTATTTGATATTTCTTTACAATGCACACATTTTGGGAAAGATAACACAGTGAGTTTTGTTTCTCACTGAGGTTGCAAAAGACCAGTTTCAAACCCCTTCCAATGTTAACTTTTGTAGCTCGAAAGCCCATGAATAAGCCTGGCAGAACCTCTCAGAGATTAAGAAAGAGCAAAAGGAAAGTAGGAAGAGTGTTGAATAGCCAGACAGATACCTGGAAGAAAATTTGTCTAATTCTCAATTTGTTCTGGGACTGGTATTGTTTTATGGTTCCTACCCTCTAAGAGACACAATTGAACACTGGAAACAAATTTGGAAAGGCTAAAGAATAAAATATAATATTGTGATAAGTGCTAGAGAAGGAACAAACTGGTCACATCAATTTGAAAGTGCACTTCATAGGTTTCATAGAGCAGGGGACAGATAAAGTAAAGCCAGTTTAATACATGCTGGAATTTCAGTTGGGCACAGGCTCCTACCAATGCCCAGCTGTTCTTCCACCATTACCATCATATAAGGCAATGGTGTGGAAAACACACGCAATAAAAGAGTCAGACGGGTCAATAACACCTGTTGCCCCACTGCTCGGTACTTCCAGAAGTGCGTTTATTTTATTTTTAGCATAATGTTACTATCAGTACTTGAAAAAATATTTACAAGTTCAGTGGATTTAATTGTGCATGATTCGTAATACTTTGCAATCTTTATTGCACCTTTTCTTTAAGAGCTAAAAGTACTTTGCAGATGTTATCTCATTAATCTGCCCCAAATCCCTATGAGCCAGGTAGTATAAGTATTCATAACCCAGTTTCACAGATAAGGAAATAGGCAGAGCAGTGGGAAATGACTTAGCCAAGGTTATGGAGCAAATGAAGAAGTGAGCGAATCGAAGGGTGGTGGTGATCGCTCTGTTCAGGGGACTGCAACTGCCTTACACCTGGGCTTTCTATTCAGGCCCCAAGGCTCTGGGATCTACAAGATATTTTGTAGCAGAAGGGCAGGTCACCCTGATGTCTCTTCTTTTAGTGTTATTTCAGTGTGTGGTGTACACACACATTTGAGCACAAGCCTATGCAAATTGTTTTAAAGATTCATCCTTGGCAGTTTTGTTCTGCAAAGAGATTTCTTAAGCAAATGTTTCAGAAATCTGAAAAGGATTATATGCAAAAGCAGCAATAGCAGCCTGAGACCCAAACTCCCAAAGTCTTACACTGGATACTGTCATAATCTGCCTACCTGCTGCTTTGGTACAATATAGGCAATTCCCTCTCATACTACACCTTGGTCAGGGGGAGAGGAGAGCCAGCTGATGGGAAATCATTTCCGAGTAGATGTCCATGTGACTCACTCAAGTACCCAAGCAATGTTGTGGGCTGGGATAGCAGGAGGAAGAAACTCCCAATCCGCAAGACTGGGTGCTAAACAGTTTGAAATTGCTTGAAGGTTATATTGAAAAGGATGTTTTAGGAGGACACACTTTCATCAACTTAGTAACAAAAACAACAATGGCTAAAGTTCAAAAGGAAAATGTGCTGGGAACATTAGAATTTCAATATTCTAATATTCAGTAGAATATTCAAATATCCTTCCAATTATAATCAACCAGTATTGTGCCACTGTTAAGTGATGTTTGTATGCCAACAGGACTAGGGAACCAAATGTTGTATCTTAATTTTCCTTCTCCACTACTCTTTATTTCCACCAACTAATAACACTCCTTCAGAATTCACGATTCAAGGGTGATGCTAATGGGACAGACCATGAATTTGGATTCAGAGAATATGATGGAATGCAAGAGAGTCTTAAAACACTCAAAGTGAGCCCACTGAAAGATCCTGACTTTTTAGGAGAAAACATAACGTTAAGATCTTTGCCAAATGCTACTTGAAAATGTTTTTAAAGATTTAGGGATGGGGCACATTTCTTTATTTTTAAAGATTTTTCTCGCAGGGAAAACAAAATGAAATGCTACCATCTGATTTATTTTGTGCGAGATCATTTAAGGGAAAGACTGTGCAATTCCTGAGGCATGGAGGTGTTCATGAACTCCGAGAACTATTATTCACCAACCTGCTAATGTTTACAAACATTGAGTAAAAGTTATTGCAGTCAGAATCCTCAATTATTTTACCTGATTTGTTTCTTGCCTCTCTCGGACATAGTTAGGCACAGAAACTTTTTTTTTTCTATGTAGTGCCTTTGTTTAGGCAAAAACTAAAACACATCTTCAAGCCCACCATATGTTAAAAACATAAGTTATGATATGTCTGTAAGGTAATATTGAAGCTCACATATACATATACACATACACACACACACCCACACACACACACACATATATATATATGGATATGTACATTCAAGCACTACAAAATGCCCAGCATTTGCATCAGATATTTTCATATATACATACCTCAACAATGGCCCACCGGGGAGTCTCAGAAAATGGCGGTACAGCTCTTGCAACCCACTGGGATAAATGGTATATACAGATACATGAGAAGTAATATCTCCTGGACCAAGTGCAGACACAGAAATTTCATTTTGATGTTGGAGGTCACAGCTGCAGACACTGGACTTAATGCCATGGCTTTTCCAGATGTAATCATACACTGCCACCTAGTGAGACACAGCCCCCCCCAACCCAGCCCCCCAGCCCCAGAAAAGAACAGAAAAAAATTAATTAACTTCTGGCGAGAGCATAACCGATTTTAAATGATTTTACAATAAATCTGAAAGTCTCTGCCATCTGCAGTGCTTGCACTCCGTTCCATGCATATTTTTATGGCATATATCTAAATAGTGAAGATAGACAAATCCCCGGTGTGTGCTCCATAAAGTTAATTCTACACAGATGAAGCTGTAATTGGCTTCCATATTAACCCAAAGTAGGAAGATCAAGCAGGCTGTGAAAATGACAGTGTTGATTAAAAAAAAAAAAATGCTTACCAATGGTTTTATGAATGGGTGTTTGTGCTTTCTCATCCGAAAGAAATCTTTGTTCTTTTTTATTTACTGGTGCTGTGCTAAGTGCTGAGTCTCTGGCATCACTGTAACAGTGCACAAGATACATCAAAGACACACTTTACAGAGGTGCACCGGGCAGGGTTTTTGTATATTTCATGTATTTACCCACTGTTTTTTCCTTTACAGCAATCCCAATTTTTGCACATACTGGACTTTAATTTCTTGTAGGATTTTTCAGGTAACAATTTCACTGTCTAATATAATACAGTGAACCCTGTGAGGCCTTCATCAATATTAATTGAATTATGAATGTGTTCCAAAGATCCTATCCTTTTGTTTATTTAAACTATTGACGATGAAGGTTACACTGTACCACTCTAAACTTTGAGGCTGATAAGCTCTCTGGTCTCCAGATATCTTTGTTATCTTTTTCTACAACTGCTGAGCTATATAGATGCTTTCTGAAATTTCCAGTTTCCATATTCACAGATGGCAGTAGTTTCAAAAGTAGGCAGGAGAAAGTTTTCAATAGATTCTTTTCTTACTTGCTCTCTTTAAGGCAGAAAACATTTGGGTGTTGCAGTGGAAATCCCATATCAAACATGTTAACTCCCCCTAAGACTTAGAAATACCTTAAGTCCTCAGAGATATGAAAGAAAATTCTGGCCTGTTACTCTTTAAATCAAGTTCATAATTGACAATAAACTCCCAAGATTCTGATGACTTTTTCTTTGAAGCTGAAAAGGTATAATTAAAATTCAGACAGACGGGGGAAATAGTATAAATATCTTGAAATGGCTTGAAGAAGAGAAAAGATCAAGTTCTAAAATGATTAAAACAAAGGTTTTTTGAGGAACCATCCTATGAGAGGTTTTTGAGACATGTAAACATGCTTTAGGAGCTTAACAATCTACCAAAAATTCACAGTAAGAAACTGATGTGTATTTGACTTAAAATAAGTTTGTGACGAGTGTGCAGAAGGAACCTTACCAAGGAGTTGAAGTTTGAATTTGGTCTCAGAACTTGAGTGGGATTTCAATAGGTATGAAAAGGGCGACAGGTGCTGCTGGCAGAGGAGGAGCACCCGAAAGGCCCTGAGAAGCAGAAGTGCACAGCAGGCCCAGGTGCCAATGAAGGGTTCAGTGGACGGGACTGAGGAGGCGTGTGAGGACAAGGACATGAGGCTGGAAAGTCAAGTGGTACTGCGAAGACCCTGGATGCTGTGCTGAGTCATTTGAATGTAATTCACGCATGGGGGAAGCTGCTGGAAGTTTGAAAGCAGAAGAGGTTTGACCTGATTTGTGTTTTAAGGTCATATGCTGAGGCAACTTGAAATGTAGACCAGAAGGATGAGTTTGGAGCACATTCCATGAAAAGTGGATAATGAGACCCTGCACTGGGGCAGCAGCAACTGGATTGGAGACCAAATCCATGGTTTCCTTTTCTGAGATAGAATCAGCAGAGTTAAGGACGCTAGCTAGATATGAGGTATGAGTCAGAGATGCCTCAAAAGGGGCAACCAGCATGAGACACCAATGGCCAGTGATGACATTGAAATGGGGCTAAAGCAAGCAGGCAGGGAAGGTTTGAGGAAGCACAGTGATTAAATCGCACTGAATATGTCTAAAAAAGAAATTTATTTTACTTTTTTGAAATTTTATTTTGAGACAGGATCTCATTCTGTTGTCCAGACTGGAGTGCAGTGGTGTGATCATGGCTCACTGCAGCCTCCACCTCCTGGGCTCAAATGATCCTCCTGCTTCAGCCCCTCAAGTAGCTGGAACCACAGACATGTGCCACCACACCCAGCTAATTTTTGTATTCTTTGTAGAGACGGGGTCCCCAAACTAATCAGTGTTGCCCAGGCTGGTCTGAAACTCCTGAGCTCAAGTAGGATTGATTACAGGCAGGCGCCACCGCACCGGCCAAAGGAGATACTTATTAAACTATGTCAAGACTAGCAACTACGGTAACATAAGTCAAATTACAGAATGAACTCTTACTCTTCATAACAGCCTGGTGAGGACATTAAGCAACACCACCCTCCCCCCGGATGTGGATGATGACTGGCCAAACTGAGGGCTCCTAGCCACCCTCCCTGTGCACACAGCACCAGGCCAGCTATCACAAACACCTCTCCTTCTCTCCCTTAGGGTTAGCCCATTCACTGATATTTCCCAGCCTCTGGATGTAAAATGTTTAACTTTAGGCCAAGCAGAATAAAAGAAATGAGATGGGAACAAGCATGCTGCATGCTGGGGAACCAGAGTCTCCACTCATTCCACAAAACACTGGTGAGACAGGAGTTAGGAGACAGCTTTTTGTGACCCAGATAGATGGGAGCCTCACTCCCCATCTTGGAAATGTAACATGGAACAAACCTACATCTCCACTTCCTTAGGTGGCATTTGCATGTTTAAAGGAATAGGAAGATGGACACATTTGTCCCTAAAGCATTAACTCTCACTTCAACAGCTCATTCCTTTAAAAGTGTGAGTGACTTTGAAAATATGGGCAGCAAACTGTGCAGAGCAGATTTTTAACAATAATTCTTATTCACTTAAGAATTACGTACTTCCTTCTTCCTCTCCTTTTTTTTTTTTCTTTTTTTGAGATGAAGTCTCACTCTTGTCTCCCAGGCTGGAGTGCAATGGTGCAGTCTCGGCTCACTGCAACCTCTGCCTCCTGGGTTCAAGCAATTCTCCTGCCTCGGCCTCCTGAGTAGCTGGGATTACAGGCGCTCACCACCACACCCACCTAATTTTTGTATTTTTAGTAGAGATGGGGTTTCACCCAGTTGGCCAGGCTGGTCTTGAACTCGTGACCTCAGGTGATATCCCCGCCTCGGCCTCCCAAAGTGTTAGGATTACAGGCATGAGCCACCGCGCCCAGTGCTTCTTCTCCTTTTTAACCACTCCTAATCGTAGGAGAGAGAGGGTTGAATTGCCTTCTACCCAGAGACATCTTTGACTGATTTAGTATCTAGGAGGAAAGGTAGGGGTGGGGGATAGACTAGAAAGTGAGGTGGCATTATTTATTATTTAGTGGCAGGCTCTAAGGTAGCAGTTGTAGTACACACACACATGCACACACACACATGCACACACACACATTTTTAACAATTTAAGTATGTGCAGCCTGTCAGGTTAGTATTATTATTCCCATTTTATAGACAAAGAAACTAAGACTCGGAAATGTTAAGTAACTTGCTCAAAGACACAGTTATGTGATGATATTTACTAAGAGGTAACCTTTACTCCTGCGGCTCAGGTTTCCCTATTTTCCTGGCCTCTCTTCTCAAGTTTAACTTACTCTTCTCCCTGGTGCATTTGAAACAAGAAAGCAGAGGAGCTTTCCTTGTCCCTCCTCTCTCATTCTTTTGGATTCAGGCTGCCCCAGGAAGTACCTATATTCTTTGCCTATCTCTAATGTCATTTTAAGCAGAGCAGGCCCCTTTCAGGAAGAGTCTCCTTCCTTCTGAGTGACAAAGTAGCAAACCCACTTGGCTGCCGATCTACAGCCACATCTTCCAAACAGCTTTTGCAGTAATGAGGCTGAGATTTTTATTTCCTTTGGTCTGGTTCCTGTGTCTTCTTAATTTTGTCAAATAGCTCAGGGTGGGGAAGAGACGTATAACATACTAGCCCCCTGAGAACCCAACAGTAATCAGGCAGCTCTGATATTTGAACCCATATTGGCCTGACTCTAAAGCCCACACATTTTTGCTTTCACCGTGTGGTAAAATGTTTGATCACAGAGTGCACTATTGTTGTGCACGCATGTGCTGCTGCAGAATGGGGATATGTCTGAACACGATCTGGGTGCTGAATTTTCTCTTTACTAAGTGTGCATATGGAAGACTCTGTGGGAAGATTTTCCTATCTTTGGTCTGGGTGGAAACTTAGCAGAAATAGAGGCAGCATTCAAATCACCTCGGACATTCCGTTCTACTAATGTCCCATGGAAGGTTCTCAAGGTCCTTGGAATTGAAGATTAACTAGGAAAGGTACTGGAATACATTCTTTTTCTCCCTTCCTTGAACCATAAGGGTCTAATACCAAAGCTATTATGGTCATTTCAGAATTTCTAGCCATCAATTCTTAACATAGGACAGGACACCCGAAACACCTGTGAACAGCAAGGTATGTGGACCAGGTTAGATCCTACTATATTGCTGTATGAGTATACACCTTTTTTTTGGGGGGGGGGGAAAGAAAGAAAGGGGAGAGAGAAAGAGAGAAATTAGAGTGAGTGACCCATACAACTTCACTAAAATATTTTTTGTTTGTTTGTTTTTTGTTATTTTAGACAGAGTTTTGCTCTTGTTGCCTGGGCTGGAGTGCAATGGTGTAATCTCCGCTCACTGCAACCTCCGCCTCATGGGTTCAAGTGATTCTCCTGCCTCAGCCTCCCGAGTAGCTGGGATTACAGGTGCCTGCCACCACACCTGCCGTATTTTTTGTAGAGACGGGGTTTCACCATGTTGGCCAGGCTGGTCTCGAAATTCTGACCTCAGTTGATCCATCCACCTTGGCCTCCCAAAGTGCTGGGATTACAGGCGTGAGCCACTGCGCCTGGCCTAGAAATGGTTTAAGGTTCTGAATTAGATGCTCATACAGAAGAGGATATTTCTGGCTAGCTGCTGACTGTTCTCACGTTGGCCATGAAAACACCCTACCCTATAGGTAAATGCTTTATATTCTGACAATTCTGACAAAACTAAGCAATTGGGGATGCTTAGTTTTGAAAACTTCTGAAAAATCCTCCCTAGGGTTAAGAAAGTAGGGCAAGGTGAAGAAGAAGAAGCAAGAAGAAGAAGAAGAAGAAGAGGAAGAGGAAGAGGAAGAGGAAGAGGGATGTCTTATAACAGGGATACAATCTGAAGAGAGGCTAATGAGAGGACAGATACAAAGGTAGGGAGTGATGAAGAAATCACCATTTGTCTAGGTCACGTGGCTCAATTCTGAACAATTCACGGAGGTGAACATGAGTCTCTGCAACTTCATTTGCTTGATTTTTTAATCTAGGTCCTGAAACCTAGCTGTTGAGGAACCAGCTACTCAGCAGACTGACCTATGATATTTGATGATCAACTTAAATGTTCCCTTATAACATTTCTCATTTCATTTTATTTCAGGCTATGAAGGCAATTCAAACAGAGGAAGGGAAATATCTGCTAAGGCAAATACCAGACAACCCAGACCTTCTTGCCTAGAGTAGGTGAGGGAGAAAAAGAAGGAAGCAGGATATGCTTTTTCTATAAACTGCATTTTCTATAGGTGTCTTTGTGTTCCATTTTCTAGTGAGTAATGGTTAAACTGTTTGGCAGACTAACATCCATGGAAAAGTGGAGATCGCTTAGTATTTCTGCAAAATGATAGGCCAGAAGAGAGCTACGGTGCCGTACAGAATCTGAAGTTAGCTCCACAAGTCTCTCTCCTGTCATCTAAAATCTCTTTCATTAAGCCAAACATGCCCCTTCATTTCTGGGAGAGCCCAATGTAAGTTAATAAATGTATTGAGACAAGTGAGTTGAGAGACTACACATATAGGACACATTTGAGGGGCTGAAGCTGACCTCCATCTGGAGGCACAAAACCTGTAAGATTCCACAAACTGCCAGACCCACGAACAGTAATCCTTAAATGAAATTCATCGTTCAGCAGAAAAACAAGTTAAGGACGGTAATTCAATGGTAGACAAAACAGGCCGGAACAGGTTCAAATGCTGCATATTTCACAACAGAGCTTAATTAAAACAGGACTATGAGGCTGTTAATTGCATTATAATACTTCAGCATGAAATTAGGTCTGATGTGAATGTCCTTACAGTGGAGTTGTTTATGTTATTATAATTACACAGTGGTACATAGATTGAGTGCATAGATACATTTTTAACAGCTCTTGAGTGGATTTCTTTTCTTTCCTCTTTTAAATTTGCACTCAGTTTCCAAGTATGGAAAGTCAGCAAGAGGGAACCAGGGTCAGGAAATTAGGTCATACTGGATGATCTGGTTGGTCTCCTGTGTATTTAAAGCTTAGAACTCCAAATAAGTTATGCCTTGATGATCGTGATTTTATTCACTATTTCTTTAGGAGCAAACAATTCATTAAAAAACTGGTCTCAGTAAAATGGACATAAATGCTTCATTTTGTCTTAGAAAGTGATGACATCCTGTGGAATTAATGAATCCAAATGCACGCTTATGACTGTGTCTGTGGTTCCACGGTATCATATATTCCAGTATTTTAAAAAGTAAAAAAAAAAAAATAACAAAAAAACACCAAAGATTAGTGTCTAGTAAAAAATGCTAACTCCTGTTCACAAAATATAATAACAGACATAACAGGAATTGATTTTCCAAATGGTAAAAATGAAGGCTCTTCCTAGATCCAGCCATAGTATCCACTTTTTGGTCAAGAACTTAGCTGCTTTATATTAGAATCTTGCCTATGACCTTGACTTAAACACTGAAACCTTGGATAGCATCAGATATTTGGGAAACATATGCATATTTGATATTTTCAACCTTCATCTTGTTATTTTGATTTCTGTGCATTCTATGTATGTCAGCAATATTGCACATTGTTGCTTCGGAATAAAAAACACAAAAAATTAATAGAAGATGATCTACAAATAAATTAGGTAAGTAAAATGATTATGCCTTGATGTTTCATTCTTTAACATAACCATTTTAAGGGTATAGAACAAGCACTTAAGTAAATTTGAGCCAATTTAGAGAAAGGCAGTAAACTATGTTGCAATGCCAGAAAGCTATACTTCTAAATAAAATTACTTGTGCTTAAGTTAGATAGAAATTATGTAATTTTGAGGAAAGTTAATGTATATCCATATGTATTTGTACACACATTATACAATAAGTTCTGTTATCATGAACATCTCAAATTTTGGTAACCAACAATTTTACATCCTGCATCTGTTAGTGGAAATACGTGCTTTTCTTTTCTTTCTTTCTTTTTTTTTTGAGACGGAGTTTTGTTCTTGTTGCCCAGGCTGGAGTTCAATGGCATGGTCTCAGCTCACTGCAACCTCCATCTCCCGGGTTGAAGCGATTCTCATGCCTCAGCCTCCCAAGTAGCTGGGATTACAGATGCCCAGCTAATTTTTTTGTATTTTTAGTAGAGACCAGGTTTCACCATGTTGACCAGGCTGGTCTCAAACTCCTGACCTCAGGTGATCCGCCTGCCTCGGCCTCCCAAAGTGCTGGGATTACAGGCGTGAGCCACCACGCCTGGCTAGAAATATGTGCTTTTCATACCACTGCTCCAAAATTCTTATGAAACCTCCTAGGAAACCACAACGACTTGACTTCTGGTTATGACATTTTTAAAGCTTTTAGAAATAGGAATAAATGCAAGGCATTTCATGAAAGTAGAAAGTCACAGATTTTAACAGTATTTCCAAGGCTTTTGCTTGTAAATATGCATGCAAATGTTAATAGTAGCAATGCAACTACATATGTACATGCTATAAATTAGTTTCAGAACAAGTAGAAGCATATATTGGCTTCTTTCTGCCACTTTTCACTGTGCGTGTGATGCGCTGGCTACAAATATGTGTATTTTTTTTTTTTTTTTTTGAGACGGAGTCTTGCTCTGTCACCCAGGCTGGAGTGCAGTGGCGCAATCTCTGCTCATTGCAAGCTCCGCCTCCCGGGTTCACGCCATTCTCCTGCCTCAGCCTCCCTAGTAGCTGGGACTACAGGCGCCTGCCACCACGCCTGGCTAATTTTTTGTATTTTTAGTAGAGACGGAGTTTCACCGCGCCAGCCAGGATGGTCTCGATCTCTTGACCTCGTGATCCGCCCGCCTCGGCCTCCCAAAGTGCCGGGACTACAGGCTTGAGCCACCGCGCCCAGCCGCACTGGCTACAAATATGAACAATGGATTAAGAAGGTGAAAACAGGGCCAGGCCTGGTTGCTCACGCCTGTAATCCTAGCACTTTGGGAGGCCAAGGTGGGTGGATCATCTAAGGTCAGGAGTTCAAGACTAGCCTGGCCAACATGGTGAAACCCCGTTTCTACTAAAAATACAAAAATTATCTGGGTGTGGTGGTGGATGCCTGTAATCCCAGCTACTTGGGAGGCTGAGGCAGGAGAATCACTTGAACCTGGGAGGCAGAGGTTGCAGAGAGCCAAGATCACGCCATTGCACTTCAGCCTGAGTGACAGAGCCAGAATTTGTCTCAAAAAAAAAAAAAAAAAAAGAAGAAGAAGAAGAAGAAGAAGGTGAAAACAGTCCTCCACAAATCTGAGATTAGACTGGCAAATCAGGGATGTAGGAGTGAGGACAGAAGGAAGAAAAGGAAAGAACAAAACAAAACAAAAAAACACCTGTTTACCGTAGCCACCCACTTCTCTGATAAATCTACAGGTGGTGGATGCATTGCTTAAACACAAAGTAGTTGTGATGACATGGCCAGCAGTGTTTCCACTCATCTACTCTGCTCTCTATAGATACAGGAAAGAAAATTTTTGATTTTAAAGTCAGACTGTGTAAAACATCAATCATGACCAGAGAACTGTGCAATATACTCAGGTCTTCAAATTTAGAAAATACTTTTTCTTTTTCCTTGAATTCTGGGAAGAAAAAAAATGAAATTTGAAGGTTATCGATTTGTTCTAATACTTTAGTACTTGGTCTGGCAGAACCAAAGAAAAATACTTGAACTTACTTAAGACAAGCAATTGTGTTAGTCCAATTATCAGAAAGAAAAAAAAATCTGGCCAGACACGGAGGCTCACGCCTGTAATCCCAACACTTTGGGAGGCCAAGGTCAGTGGAACACCTGAGGTCAGCAGTTCGAGATCAGCCTGGCCAACATGGTGAAGCCCCATCTCTACTAAAAATACAAAAAAAAAAAAAAAAATTAGCCAGGCGTGGTGGCGGGTGCCTGTAGTCTCAGCTACTCGGGAGGCTGAGGCAGGAAAATGGCATGAACCCAAGAGGCAGAGCTTGCAGTGAGCCGAGATCGTGCCACTGCACTCCAGCCTGGGCGACAGAGCGAGACTCTGTCTCAAAAACAAAAAAAGAAAAAAAATCTGACTACAATTTTTTTGTTTGTTTCCAGATGGTAGACTTGCAATGTGGTGCCTAGACCTTGTCACAGCCCCTAAGCCACTAAATCACTGATAGAAGGAGCTTCAGATGTCTACTAGTACGAAGACTACTTACCCTTTTCTTTTTAAAATATTACTTAGCCAGCACCTTTACCTCTTCTTTGATGTGTAAAGCACTGAAGCAGAAAGAGCTTCCTCCCTGTCTGAGAATTATTCACCTAAGAGGGTGGCCTGTTGTCCATGCTGGTGACTAATACTTGGTTCTTAGCCTATCCTTTGGTTTCATTTTCTCTAGTGATTGGAAAATAGCAAAGCATAAGACAAGCAAAAGATGGGCGGTGGGTAAGGGAGGTTGTCTGTTTGTATGTGTGTGTACTTTACCTTATTTTCAGAATAAATTATCTCCCAGTTTAGTTGCACAAATATTTTTGTATTAATAGAAATGAACAAAACTATATAACTTATGAGTATAATTTTTTATACATTAACAAAACTTATTTGAAGAACCAAGTAGTACAAATTGGTTGAAACTTTTGGAGGGAGAATTAGTAACAGCAAGCATGAACTCATCAAACACTGAGCATACTCCTACGTGAGTTTGGCAGAGGTTATCACATGAGTCTACCCCATACAACTACTTGGCTCACTCCTTTTCTTCGTGACTCTACTAAAATGCACCGTTATCAGTGGAGTCTTTCCTGACTAACCTGAAGGAGATATAGCACCTTCACCCTCAGCCATACCCTATGTCTTCTTTTCCCTACAACACCAACCATACTATAGATTTACTTCCTTATTATCTGTCTTTCTGCACACAAATGTCAAGTTCATGGGGAAAGAGAATAGAGTCTGGCTCATAAGAGGAGCTAAGTATGTATCTGTTGAAGTAACAAATAAATCAAATAAGTGATTTAAATGAATTCAATATTTAAGGCAATCTGTTTTTTTGTTTTGTTTTGCTTGTCTCAAGCTTACCTTTGAGGCTACTAAATCAATTTATTTTTGCTAACTGCAAAATTGATAGGTAAGACCCAACTGTTCTTTTATGTCCGTGTTTCTAATAATGCTCAGGCCATTCCTTCAGAAGTATCAGTGAGGCCATCACTCTACCAGCATCTCACAAGGCAAATTTTAAATCCCTATTTCTTAATTCAGTGAAGTTTGTTCAGCTGCTGCCTCATCACCTCACTCCACCTACACCACCCACGAGTCAAAGACTGCCAGTGTCATAACTCTCCTAGAATAATACCCCTTTGCACGCATATAAAACCTTTACTCCAGGAGTTACAATGCATTACATGATAATTAATTGCCTCATTACTCAGCCCTATGAGCAAGAGAGTATTACAGTATTTTGATTTTCTGGATGGTAAGTCTCAGAAAAAGAAAATAAAACTACATCTCTACCTTCAATAAGAATACCAAAGGGATAAGAAACAATGAATTAAATTCATCTTCATGCAATGAGTTGATAGGGTTGTTAGTAGTTAATGGCAAAAATGAGCTTATTTAATTTAACACTTTCCACTCAGAGAAGCCAGGGCTATTTCACAGTTGTTTTTTTCACAACTATCAAAAGAAATCAGAATGGCCGGGTGTGGTGGTTCATACCTGTAATCCAAGCACTTTGGGAGTCCAAGGCGGGCAGATCACTTGAGGTCAGGAGTTTGAGACCAGTCTGGCCAATGTGGTGAAACCCCGTCTCTACTAAAAATACAAAAATTAGCCAGATGTGGTGGTGTGCGCCTGTAATCCCAACTACTCAGGAGGCTGAGGCAGGAGAATCACTTGAACCCGGGAGGTGGAGGTTGCAGTGAGCAGAGATCATGCCATTGCACTCTATCCTGGGCAACAGAGTGAGACTCTATGTCCAAAAAAAAGAAAAGAAAAGAAAAGATATCAGTGTATTTTTGTGTGCCTAGTTTGACTAAGTCTTTTTCATTATTCAAAACTATTTTTATGTCCCTCATTCAGGCTAGATGCCACGAGAAATACAGGTTGAAGGCCAGGCACATTGGCTTACAGCTGCAATCCCAGCACTTCAAGAGGGTGAGGCAGGAAGATCACTTAAGCTCAGGAATTCGAGACCAGCCTGGGCAACACAGTGAGACCTCATCTCTACTTCTTTTTCTTTTTTTCTTTTTTTTTTTTAAAAAAAGAAAGAAATACAGGACAAAATATATTTTCTTGGCCTCCATGAAACTTATAACTTAGTAAGGGAAATGAGAAACAAATACCAATTATTATAATTTAAAGCTATTAAGTTATAAATGCTCTATGAGAGATTTAAAATTCTAAGCATTTGAGGAGGAAAAATTCATGCCTGCAAGTGATGAAAATAGATGGCCCAGGTTAGATATCTCCTCTGGGCCTGGAATGGAACTTAGAAGGGAGAGAAAAAAGGCCACACATGTGAAGATGAATATTTTTGATTAAAAAAATAAAGAATAAGGGAATTTGGTGTTCATATTTTAACCAAAGTTCCAGTATAGTGCCTTTCTGTGAGTCTAGGTTTCCAGAATGTTTATACTTTTTGAGATTTCAAGGGATATTGTCAGGCTTCCTATTTTACGATCACACTTGGACATTGGATCTTGCCCTTTGTTTGAATGTGTTCTGTCTTTCGGCATGACATTTTCAGAGCAGAATAAGAGAAGAGAAAAGCATACAGAAAATTGATCACAGCAGTGACTATTTTGGGAAAGATTAATTAGGAATAAGAATTATAAATAATACTTATTTAGGACTCATTATGTAAAAGGCTCTCTTCAAAGCCCATTCATTCATTCATTCATCCATCCACTCAAAACGTATTTATTGAAATCCCATTTTGTACCAGAGGAAAATGGAGACAAAGAATTAAAGCAAGGAGACAGAGTCCTTGATCTACAGCTTGAGAAGATAGATGATAAATAACTAAGTACATCATAAGTGCTATGGAGAAGAGGGAAACAGAGCAGGAGACTAGACAGTGGGAGGGTAGAGGGCTATTTTATTGCTATTTTATTCAGAGCTTGTTTCTTATTCAGGGAAAGCCTCCCTGAAATAGAGACATTTGTTCAGAGGCTTGAATTAAGGGAGGGCGTGCATCATGTACATAACTAGGGGAACAGCATAGCAAGAAGAGGAAACAGCGAGTACATGGCTGTCCGGGTAGACAGTCACCATCTGAGGTTTCACTTAGTGGTTTCAGTTACCCATGGTCTACTGTGGTTCAAAAACATTAAGTGACAAAATCCAGAAATAAACAGTTTATAGGTTTTAAATTGTGTACCATTCTGAGTAGCGTGATTAAATCTTGAGCCATCCTGCTCCCTCCCTACCAGATCATGAATCCTCCCTTTGTCTAGCGTCTCCATGCTGTAGAGTTACCTGCCTATGAGCCACTCAGTACTGCTGTAGGTCCTCAGATTGACTGTCGAGGTATCACAATGTTAGTGTTCAAGTAAGTAACCCCCTTTTTTTAACTTAATCATCGCCCTTGAGTGCAAGAGTAGCGATGCTGACATACTGTTATACTTGTTCTATTTTATTATCAGTCATTGTTAATCTCTGACTGTGCCTAATTTATAAATGAAGCTTTATCATAGGTATGTATGTATAGGAAAAAACATAGTACATATAGGATCTGGTACCATTTACAGCTTCAGGCATCCACTGGGGGATGTACTTGTCTTGTGTTCCAGAAAAAGCAAAAATGTCAAAAGAGCTGAAACGTGGTAAAAAAGGGAGAGATAGGAGATGAGATGAGAGCTGTGTGAGCTAGGGAAGGAGCTGAGCATTTAGGGATGTGTGGGTGGCTGAAGAACTATGAGTTTTTTGATGAACATGAAGGCAGAGTTTGAGGTGACACATCTACAAGCCAAGAAATACCAAAGATTGCCAGGAAACCACCAGAAGCTAGGAGAGAGGCATGGGAGAGATTCTCCCTCGCTGACATCAAAAAGACCCAACCCTGCTGGCGCCATGATCTCAGACTTTTCGACTCCAAGATTGTGAGACAGTAAGCTTCTGTTGTTTAAGCCACCCAGTTGTGGCATTTTGATTTGACAGTTCCAGGAAACTAACACAGGAAATGACCCACTTATATGCATTATAGCTGAGAATGAATGAATAGTAGAGTCAAAATATGACTGCAAGATAATCTGACCCCCAGAGCCCAGGCTCCAAATCTCTGTCTCTACTACTTCTCTAAAAGACATATTTTAAAATTGTAAAGTGAGAGGAAAATATTTCCAAAGTATCCATTTCAATGAAATTAAGAATGTATATTTACTTTAAGTCATAAATATATATCCAACAGCTTTTTCTGTGCTTTTTTATTGTTGAAGTTGAGCTACGGAGAGCAAGTGTTTGAAGAGGACTTGGCTGTAGAGAATTATCTCCTGACTCTGTTTTTGATTAGGAAGAATAACACCCTGGGAAAGAGAAGGTCTATACTCCCAACCTCCACCTGCTGGAAATCACTACTCTATTCTCTGCTTCTATGAGCTTGACTTTTTTAGACTCCATATATAAGTGACATCATGCAGTATTTATCTTTCTGTGCCTGGCTTATTTCACTTAGCACATTGTCCTTGAGGTTCATCCATGTTGCTGCACATGACAAGATTTCCTCATTTTCTAAGACTGAATAATATCCCATCATCATATATACCACAATTTCTTTATACATTTATTAACTGATGGCTACTTAAGATGATTCCGGATCTTGGCTCTTTTGTGAATACTCCTGCAATCAACATGGTGATGAAGTTATCTCTTCAACATACCGATACCCAGAATTGGAATTGCTCAGTCACATGGCAGTTATATTTGTATTTTTGAGGGACCTCGATACTATTATTCATAATGGCTGTACTAATTCACATTTCCACCAACAGTGTACCAGTGTTTCCTTTTTTCTGCCTCATCACCAACATTTATTGTCTGTCTTTTGTCTTTTTGGCAATAGCCATTCTAACAGGCATTAGGTGATTTCTCATTGTAATATTGATTTGCATTTGCCTGATGAATGATGTTGAGTACTTTTGCATGTAACTGTTGGCCATTTGCTTGTCTTCTTTTGAGAAATGTCTATTCAGGCCTGTTGCCCAATTTTAATTGCATCATTTATTTTCTTGCTATTGAGCTGTTTGAATTTCTTATATATTTTGGATATTGACTTCTTACCAGGTGTATGGTAATATGCAAATATTTTCTCCCATTTGTAGGAAGAATCAACACTCTGTTGATTGTTTCCTTTGCTGTGCAGAAACTGTTTAATTTAAGGTCATCCCATTTGTCTATTCTTCTTTTTGTTGCCTATATGTTTGAGGTCATATCCAAAAAAATCATTGCCCAAACCAGTGTCAAGAAGCCTTTTTCCTGCATTTTCTTGTGGCTGTTTTACAATTTCATGTCTTTAAGTCTTTAGTCCATTTTGAGTTGACTTTAAGATGTAGTGCCAGATAAATGTCCAATTTCATTCTTCTGCATGTGGATATTTAGTTTCCCTAACACTACTCAATGAAGATAATGGCCTTTCTCCATTAAATGTTCTTGGCACATTTGTTGATCAGTTTATCAGAACAGTGTGGATTTCTTTCTAGGCTTTCTATTCTATTCCTTTGGTCTATGTGTCTTTTTAAATTCCAGTGCCATTCTGTTTTGATTATTATAGCTTTACAGTATATTTTGAAATTAGGTGGTGTGATGCCTCCAGTTTTGTTCTTTGTGCTCAAGAATGCTTTGGCTTTCTGGAGTTTTTTGTAGTTTCATACAAATTTTAAAATTGCTTTTTCTGTTTATATGAAAATACCATTAATGTTTTGATAGAGATTATATTGAATCTGTGTATTGGTTAAGGTAGTACAGAAATTTTAACAGTATTAATTCTTCCAATCCATAAATATGGAATATATTTCTATTTTTTGTGTCTTCAACATCTCTCATCAATGTTTCGCAGCTTTCAGCGTACAGATCTATCACCTCGTTGGTTAAATTTATTTCTAAGTATTTTATCTTTTTATGCTATTGTAAATGGGATTGTTTTCTCAATTTCTTTTTTGGATAGCTCATCGTTAGTATATAGAAATGCTACTAATTTTTATATGTTGATTTTGTATCCTGAAAGTTTACTGTATTTATTAGTTCTAACAGTTTTTGGTGGAGTCTTTAGAGCTTTCTATATTAGATTATCTTGTCTGCAAACAGAAATCACTTTACTGTTCCCTTTCTGACTTGAATCCCTCATTTCTGTTCTTGCCTAATTGCTCTGGCTAGGACTTCCAGTATTATGTTTAATGCAAGTGGTGAGAATGGGCATCCTTGTCCTTTAGCTGTTCTTTAAGAAACATCTTTCAACTTTTCATCACTGAATGTGATGCTAGCTGTGGGCTTGTCATATATGGCTTTTATAAGAGATGTATATAATAGCTTTATTACATTGAGGTATATTCCTTTTATACTTAGTTTGTTGAGATTTTTATGAAATGATGTTATATTTTGTCAAATGATCTTTCTGCATCTGTTGAGATTATCATACAATGTTTATCCTTCATTTTGTGAATGTGGCATATCACATTTATTGATTTGCATCTATTGAACCATCTTTGCCTCCCAGAGGTAAATCCTCCTTGATCATGGTGTATGATCCTTTTAATACTCTACTGAATTTGGTTTACGAGTATTCGGTTGAACATTTTTGCATCTGTGCTCATTAAGGATATTGGTCTATAATTTTTATTTTTTATAGTGTCCTTAACTGGCTTTTGTGTAACAGTAATGGTGGCCTTGTAAAATTAGTTTGAAAGTGTTCCCTCTTCTTCATTCCTTTGGAAGAATTTGAGAAAAATTTGTTTTAAATGTACGTTTTAAATGTTTGGTAGAATTTACCAATGAAGCCATCATGTACTGGACTTTTATTTTGTTGGAGGGGTTTGTGATTAATGATTCAATCTCCATACCTGTTATTGGTCTATTCGGACTTTTTATTTCTTCCTGATTCAGTCTTGGTCGGTTGTATGTTTCCAAGAATTTATCCACTTCTTCTAGGTTATCTCATTTGTTGATGGATAGTTGTTCATAGTAATCTAATAATTCTTTGAGATTATCAGCCACAATGTCTTCTCTTCTGGTTATGATTTTATTTCAATTACTTATTATAATTTTTATTTATTTCAGTTATAATTGTATTCTCTCTTTTTTCTTAGTCTAACTAAAGGTTTGTGAATTTTGTTCATCTTTCAGAAAACAAACTCTTAGTTTCACTGATCTTTTTACCTGTTTTTCTAGTTTTTATTTCATTTATTTATCCTCAGATCTTTATTATTTTCTTCCTTCTGCTGACTTTGGGCTTAGTTTGCTCTTTTTCTAGTTCCCTGAAGTGTGAAGCTAGGTTATTTATTTGAGATCTCTCTTTTTTCTTAATGTAGTGTTTACCACTATAAATTTCACTTTTAGAATACTATTGCTGCATCCCTCAGGTTTTGGCATGTTGTGTTTCCACTTTCATTTGTCTCAAGATACTTTTTTATTTTCTTTTTTATTTCTTTTTTGACTCATTGGTTGTTCAGAAGTATGTTAATTTCCATGTATTTGTAAATTTTCCTATTTTTCTTTTGTTATTGATTTCTAGTTTTATACCATGTGGTCAGAAAAATACTTGATATGATTTCAGTCTTCTAAGGCTTGCAAGACTCGCTTTGTGGCCTCTCAACTGAAGAATCATGAGGTTCATAAATCTGAAATGGAGAGTTTTATTTCTTTTAAGGAGTTGCAGCCTGCAGGCTGGCTATCCCGCAGGCTGAAAAGCACAGCTTCTGGCAGAAACCAGAAGCAGGAACTTCGAGAGAGGGAAGGGTAGAACAGGAATTTATGTTAAATGAGTTGGCTAAGTATACATATTTAACTGGTTACAGAAAGAGCTATGGATATTTACAAAAGGGGGACATGCACATGCATAGTAAGCAAACATGCATGTAACAGTCCCATGTTCACTTTGGTTTGGAGACTTAAAATTTAAATACAGCAAAATTAGGCCATATTTGTCAAAAGGTGAAATGGTAAACACAGAGGCATTCTGTGTGCAGCCTCTGTAAACCAACCAAAACCAGTCCATGGTTGGTGGTCTCCTATCAAGAAGGAATGCTGGTTAGTTGTATCAAAACCACACAAAGGGAAAGGAGTCCAGCAAGTGTTTTGAAAGGGCTGCTTTCTGTTTAACCCTTAGGAAAAAAAGCCTAATGGTAGTTAGTGAGAGGGGGTATAATAAGGCATGTCTAACCTCCCATCCTGTCACGATCAGGAATTCAGCTTTTAAGGTTTCCCTGTGGTCCCCTTGGCCAAGAAGGGGTTCAGTCAGTCAGATGGGGGATTTAGGATTGCAGTTTTATTTCTCAGGCCTAACATATTATCTATTCCAGATAATGTTTCATATACCCTTGAAAAAAATGTGCATGCAGCTGTTGGATGGAATGTTCTGTATATGTGTGTTAAGTCCATTTGGTGTATAGTGTTGTTCAAGTCCACTATTTGCTTGTTGATATTCTGTCTGGATGATCTATCCATTGTTGTAAGTGTGATATTTAAGTCTCCTACAATTATTGTATTACTATTTCTCCCTTTAGTTCTGTTGATATTTGCTTTGTATATGCAGGTGCTGTAATGTTGAGTGCATATATGTTTACAATTGTATTTCAGGATTTCAGGCATTTTACAAAAAGCACTTCAAGACTCCCAGGGAGAAGTGAAACTCCAAAGGTAGACTATGTGATGACTCAGCTCTCTTCTTAGGGATGATTTCTCAATCATAGAGCAGACAGCTGGAATAAAAAAAAACTAACCAAAAATTGAGGTCTTGATGAGTTGAGGCAGAGTTTGAGGTAGTCTATGTGGCTGGAATTTTCAGGGTAAGAAATTGGCAGTCTCAGAAGAACATGTGGAAGTTGCTCTTTCAGTCTCCATCTGAGAAGTAGACTGTCCATGTGCAAGGTGAGACTACAAAAGGCTCATCAAATAGCAGCTGCCATGAGGTCAAGAGTAGAATAAAGATTCTAGGAGCTGAACAGTACTATGAGAAGAGCAGTGTCTTGAGAAGTTAGAGTTCTGACCTTACCAGAGTAAAGATGATATGGTTCGGCTCTGTGTCCCCACCCAAATCTCATGTCAACTTGTAATTCCTGGTGTTCAAGGAGGGGCCTGGTGGGAGGTGATTGAATCATGGGGACAGAATTCCCCCTGGCTGTTCTTGTGATAGAGTTCTCACAGGATCTGGGTATTTGAAAGTGTGTAGCCCTTTTCCTTCACTCTCTCTCCTGCTGACCTGCTGAAGATGTTCTTGCTTTGCCCTTTGACTTCTGCCATGATAGTAGGTTTCTGAGGCCACTCCAGAAGCAGAAGCCTATACAACCCAAAGAACTGTGAGTGGATTAAACCTCTTTTCTTTATAAATTACCCAGTCTCAAGTATGTCTTTATAGCATTGGGAGAACAAACTAATAAAGAAAATTGGTACCAGGGAAGTAGGATATTGCTAGAAAGATATCTGATGCTGGGCACCATGGTTCATGCCCATAATCCCAGCACTTTGGGAGGATAAGGCGGGCAGATTACCTGAGGTCAGGCCTGACCAACATGGAGAAACCCCATCTCTATGAAAAATACAAAATTAGCCAGGTATGGTGGCACATACCTGTAATCCCAGCTACTCGGAAGGCTGAGGCAGGAGAATTGCTCGACCCCGGGAGGCAGAGGTGGCAGTGAGCCAAGATCATGCCATTGCACTCCAGCCTGGGCAACAAGAGCAAAACTTTGTCTCAAAAAAAAAAACAAGATATCTGAAAATGTGGAAGCAGATTTGGAACTGCATAATGAGCAGAGTTTGGAACAGTTTGGAGGGCTCAGAAGCAGACAGGAAGAAGAGGGAAAGTTTGGAACTTCCTAGTGACATGTTAAATTGTAACCAAATGCTGATAGTGACATGGGCCATGAAGTACAGACTGAGATAGTCTCAGAAGAAGATGTGGAACTTATTGAAAACTGGAGTAAAGGTCAATCTTGCTATGCTTTAGCAAGGACACTGGTGGCATGTGCCCCTGCTCTGGGGATCTGTGGAACTTTGAACTTGAGAGAGATGATTTAGGGTATCTGGAAGAACAAATTTCTGAGCAGCAAAACATTCAAGATGTGCCCTGGCTGCTTCTAAAAGTGTACACTCATATGTGTGCACAAAGAGAGTATCTGAAACTGGGACTTATATTTAAAAGAGAAACAGAATATAAAAGTTTGGAAAATTTGCTGCCTGACCATACGGTAGAAAAGAAAAACCCACTTTCTGGGGAGGAGTTCGAGCCTGATGCAGAAATTTGTATAAGTAAAGAGGAACTGAATGTTAACAGCCAATACAATGGGGAAAATGCCTCCAAGGCATTTCAGAGACCTTCATTGCAGGCCCTCCCATCACAGACCTAGAGGCCTAGGAGAAATAAATGGTTTGGGGGGCCAGGCCCAGGACCTCGCTGCTCTCAGTCTCAGGAGATGAAGCCCTGTGTCCCAGCTGTTCCAGCTCCAGCTGTGGCTAAACGAGGCCAAGGTACAGCTTGGGCCATTGCTTCAGAGGGTACAAATCATAAGCCTTCATGGCCTCTGTGTGCAGAGGGCAAGAGTTGAGGCTGGGAAGCTTCCACCCAGATTCCAGAGGATGTATGAAACACCTGGATGTCCAGGCAGAAGTCTGCTGCAGGGGCAGAGCCCTCATGTTGAATCTCTACTAGAGCAGTGCTGAGGGGAAATGTGGGCTTGGAGCCTCCACACAGAGTCCCCAGTGGGACACTGCCTAGTGGGGCTGTGAATATAGAAGGCCACTGTGCTCTAGGCCCCAAAATAGTAGATCCATCAATAGCTTGCACTGGGCATCTGGAAAAGCCAGAGGCACTCAATGGGCCAGGTTCACACTGGAGACTGCATTTGGAGCTTGAGATCCCTCAAGTTAGAGGAGTTTAGGACATACTTTGTGTTTTCCTCAGTTTTTTTCCTAGTGAAATTTAAACCAAAATCACAGAAGTTCAAGGTGACCATTCAAGAATTTAACTATCTGATAAAACAAGAAGAAGAACACACACTTCATGGAAACACATTTCATGGAAAGGTAACACACTTCATGGAAACACTCTTCATGGAAGAAACACATTTCATGGAAAGGTAACACAATTCATGGAAACACTCTTCATGGAAGAAACACATTTCATGGAAAGGTAATTGAATTCAGAGTTTATATATCTTAAAACACATAATATGTGAAATGCAATACATGCAAAAGCAAAAATAAATAAATAAAATGAGAAAATGAGGCATCAAGAGAAAAAGCAATAAATAAAAATCAACCTTGAGATGGTCCAGATATTAGATTTAGAAAACAGAGCCTTTAAAGCATCTTTTGTAATTGTTTAAAGAACCAAGAAAAGCATATTCAAAGAATTTAAAAAATATATGATCCTAATGAGTAGCCTGATAAAGAATCTCGGCAGAGAAACAAAAACTATGAAAAATAACTGAATAGAAATTTCAGAAATAAAAACTACAATGACTGAAATGAAAAATTCATTGACTTGGCTTAACAACCAATTGCAGATGTCGGAAAAAAAAGGTCCAGTGATTTTGAAGACAGATCTAAAGAAATTACTCAATTTGAAGAACAGAGAAAAAATACTAAAGAAAATAAAAAAGCACATCAGAAGCATGTAAAATATTAAATAATGCAGCATAAATGCAATTAAAATTACAGATGGAAAAGGGGGTGAGATTAGAGCTGAAAAAATATTTTAATAAATGATAACTGAAAACATCCCAACTAAGTTGAAGATCACTTCCTACAAAGCAAAGCAGCATAAAACCACAAAGAACTTTACCTAGACAAATCAGAGTCCAACAGCTGAAAACCAGAGATAAATAACAGAGACTTAAATCAACCAAGGGAAAAAAGACACATTACATACAGGGGAAATGAATGTAAATGACCTCTGACTTCTCTTCAAAAACAAAAACAGACAGAGGTCAGATGATAATGTAACAATATCTATCAACCCAGATTTCTGGATTGTTTGTTTGATTAGTCATAGTGTGATCATAAATGCTGTAAATATAGATAATGTTATTTTTAACATTTATTTTTATGTTAATATTAATAAACTATTGATTACATTTGCTCATGCTTGCAGCTTTTCATCCTTCCTGATCTCTGGAACAGTCTTCTGCAGTAGTTATGAAAATAAAATTCTAGATCTAGATTCTTATCATTAGGGCAAGTTCTTGATGTTTTTTTACTTTCCTCACCAATGAAATGAAGTACATATGGTCTCTGATTTAATGATGGCTTGATTTAATGATTTTTCAACTTTACAATGATGTGAAAGTGATATGCATCCAGTAGAAATTGTACTTCGAGTACCCATACAACTATTGCTTTTCACTCCAGTACAGTATTCAATAAATTATGAGATACTCAACACTTTATTATAAAACAGTCACTGTGTTAGATTATTTTGTCAAACTGTAGCCTAATGTAAGTGTTCTGAGCACGTTAAGGTAGGCTAGGCTAAACTACGTTCAACAGGTTATGTGTTTTTAATGCATTTTTGACTCATGGTGTTTTCAATTTGGATAGGTTTATTGGACATAGCCCCATTGTAAGTCAAGGAGCATCCATATTGGACCCAATAATTTCTAAGATAATCACAATCTCTGAAATACAGTACAGTGTATCAGAATAATGAACAAGTACTAGAATGGGAATGCATAGGAAATCCAAGATTGACGGGTATCATATTACATGAAGTTAATATTTTCACTTTTGGGTGCCTATACATCAGAAAACCATGATAAACATATTGGTAAACAGATTTTTTCCTTCACCTTCATTTTATTCCGAAAGAGTACAATGCCCTTAAGTGTACTAAAAGAACCAAAAATGTTAAGTAGGACATTTAATCCACCCGTTTCCTTTGCAAGAATGAAGACAGAAAGGAGATAAAACTAATGTTCCAATTTTCACTGTAACAGATATAAGTTTTACCATAGTCTAAAAGAACTATAAGTAAAATGATAATTGACAGCTAATAGACTCAGATATTTTAAAAATCATTTAGCATGTAGAAACTCTGAAAATACAACAGTATCCCTTGATTGATTGATGGGATAATTGAATATAGGTTTTAAAGATATATAAATTGATTATTAAAAACTGATTTCAAAACTTGTACATTCAAAATAATGAACTTATGAAATCGATTTACTATTTTTAGCTAAAGGGGGTTGCCATTAATTTAGCTTTTGCTAAATTAGCTAAATAGAAGGATATTTACAGATTTTAAAATTGTTTATATTGAAAATGCTTAATTTAGGTCTACCAGTGATTTTTTTTTGGTATAATATCTTGAACTCTGCCAGGAATTCACTTGTGGAAAGAAATAAGCATTAGAGAAGATTAAGCTAGAGATTGGCTTGAAATTTATAAACTGAGGAAGAAGATCCACTGGGGAATCAATTCACCCCCTAGAGATACTAAGAAAATAGCTGGGGAGGCTGTGCTCAGAGTGCAAGAGGCATGGCATTCTGCTCAGCCATAATTCTCATAATGGCTAAGCAGGAATCTTTAGATGGGCAGCAGCTGCAATTTTGATCCCTTGAATTTTTATCTTTCAGGCTTTTAAGTCCAAGGTCATCTAGTGGACACATAGAGTTTAATGAATACAACACTCAATTGATAAATATATTAATGAGTATATACAGGAAACACCAGAAAAGTCTGGATTCAGAATTATAAGTTAACATTATATTCTCAGTTACCTTAGGTAACTGTTATTGGGTTATTGGGTTGTTATAGGAACTTGTAGGGACTATGTGTTTCTATGTGCTGTCTGCCCATGAAGAAATTATTTTTTGGTAGAGATTAGGAAGTGTGGGGAAAGATCAGATAGAAGAATTACTTGAAGGAGAAATATATATAATAAGTTGGGGATAGTTGTAAGAGCTTATTATAAGGTGCATAATTTAATGTAATTATCCCAAGTGTTAACCAAGAAATGTTAAGATATTCACCAAGTGATAACAAGAACAGAGAAAAGGTAAATTACTCTGAAGAAAATTAACCTGATTGCTTAAAAGGTAGAAATTCTGAATATAATCAAATGATATGTCATTAGACATATCATGTCTAATGACATATCACATGTACATAAAATGCATAAAATACCCAAAGAGAAGAATAAATATCACGTATTAGTGTATGTTCATTGAAAACAGGTAGTTGTCAGATGAAAATCATAAATGTATTTTTCAATAAAGGAAAAAACAAGGTGGACTAACGAGTGTGAAAGTTTTGGAACTAACTGGATATCAAACAAGGATTTCTCAAGGGCTAGGAAAGAGAAAGAAAGATTCAGAAAGCACACAAGTGAGAAAAGAAATGAGCATTTATATAGAGAGGAGATGAACGAGCCCAGGGAAGGCTGTCATAAAATACACATTGCATAATGCATGATGGATCAGTTCTATTATTTAACTTTCTAAAAGATGTAACAATACAGAGATATGCCAACCATCATAGTCAGCATTAATTTACAGCGGGAGAAATAATTAGAATCTCACTTTTTCTGAAAAATGGAGTGAAAATGTAAACAATGCTTCCCTCCAGGCAAGTGCTTTATCAAGTTGACAGGTGCATTTGAATTTCCATGGGTGGGGGATATAATAGGTTATTTATGTGTCATTTTAATAGAAAGACCCAACCATCAAGATGGACAGCAGACTTTATCAGTACTGCTGTTTGCAACTAATCCTCCAATTTAGTACCCCATGAAAATACCTGCAACAAAACCTGTCCATTTTTCTTTTACACTCCATTATGGAAAAATCAATATGGGTGCTATTCATCGCAAATCTCCTGCTTGGTGGGTGCCTGAGACACAGAATGTGAAAAAACCTGACACTTCAGCACTCTGTGTGGCAAAGCCCATTGCTTATGATTTTGTTTTGTCACATTCTACCACCCAGAATGGCCCATTTGGCCTAGTATATGTTCCAGAATCTAATAGAGATCAGCCAGAGACGCTGGATCTGATTACTGTAAGGGCAATTCATCTGGAGTTAGTTTTAGAGCTCAGACCAGGAGCTGGCTGACTTTCAAACTAGATAGATTTACTTTTTATCTGTTTTTTATCAAATAGTGAATAATAACTCATAAATTCAGTAAATAATAATTCAATCAAACCATACATAAACTACACAATAATGAATACTTCACTATTTAACCAAGTCATTGAAAACATATTCTGACTACCTATTGTCCAGGAAAGTGGTCTTTGTTTATCTTCCAACTCTCCTAGGCCAAGCTTAATATTCAAAACAAGATGTTAACTGGGAAACAATTCTACTACATCCCAAAATAAATATGTATGAATAGAATGTCATAGAGTTCATGACTGTCAACTACAAAGCCATCCCGGACTAATTATCCAAAGGCTCAAAATTCAACACCTTCCCCACAAAAGCACCTTAAAGGCAGAACGTTTATTTGATTTATCTTTGTTTTCCTCCAAATCACTAAAATTATGTTTGCCTAGTATTTATTAGATGAATGAGTATTTAACAAAGTTCATATATTTATTCTTGCTATATGCTAGCAAAAGCTAGATTATAGAATAATATCCCCCAAACCCCAAACAACTCATAAATGATTCTTAGCCATCAGTCTTTTAATTGATCTAAATTTAGATCAATTGACTATACTGCATGAAGCTCTTGGGCAGATCTGACAGACTGGTTCACTCAACATATACTCCAGACACTAACCATGTGCCTTCTAGGAATACAGGAGAGGAAAACCTAAGACTGTATTTCTCAGATTCCCTCTTAGCCATGATCTGCCTTTATTTCTTTCTTTCTTAAACTATCCATGGGATTTCTGTTCTCTGCAACAAGTTATCCGAGGGCTGCCCCAAGATTTTTTGCCCATTAAGTGATAAACCATCATTCCCATTTTTGAAATCATAGTTTTTTATGTCATTTTTGACTTAAAGGTTGGAATTCAAAAAATTATCAGCTCATAGTATCTCCTCATTAGCAACTTCCCTTACTTTAATTACTTCCTAAAAATCAAGGTGCTATATTTTATCAGTGCCTTTCTTCCATCATAAGGTATCTACACATCTGCAAGCATTATCAGAAATAAGCTGATGTCATTTACTATTACTCATTGCCTCAATTAAATATTGCGTACCCTATTGTATTCCAGGCACATCCAAAAGCATGTTATGTGAATAAGGACAGCATTGATAAAAAGAAAACTTTCTTCAAAATATGCATTATTTCCATGATGTTTGATGTTGGAGCAAAGCAAGCAACCTCACATATACAGGCTTTTCCTGTGTTGTTGTGGAGAGGAGTGATCTGGAGCATGGTCTTATGAGACCTGTTGATCACATTTGATATACGCAGAACAGCTGTGCCAAAGGGCCAGAAGAAATTTATCAGTGCACTCTTTTTATTGGGCTAAATTCTAAGGACTATTTGCTTCCAACACTTCCTCAGGTGACAATAAAACTGATTCATTTGGAGGCAAATAAATCCTCTGATATAAACAAACTCTTTGAGAAGTGTTGTTACCTCTGAAACTTTTTGATATGTAGAAATGTCTCATATCATATAAACATACATATTTTTTTCAAAGGTTATATATATGCTTCTAAACCATACCAAGCAATTGGGCAATTAATTGTAACTGTTATTCTGCTCTATGATTGTTTTATGTGTTTAATTTTTGTCTTACACTCCTGGCTAGTAAGCTTCTTTACTACATACTTTATATGTCTTTATATCCTCCAAGGTATTTACTGCAGAGCTGGACAGAGCAAACGGCTCAATTAATGCCAGATTCACTGTCAAGGATATTTGGAACTTTCAATGATTTTTTTTTTAAAGAGTCAAGCAGGTTCATAGTTCCGTAATGTCTTATTAGTAGGATTTTAGTTTCATTGACCCCTTGCAATGACCTGCAGAAGCTCCTTCATTAATGAGCCAAAATTGCACATTCAAAACACAGCTTCCAGCAATATCAACTGTGTGATCAATGTAACCTTGAAGAAGTCATGGTAACTGCAACAGCATTGAGAAAGGGCACTTGATGAAATATAGGGATAGAAGCTTCATTGATTCACAAAAGACTATATCTGTATTTTCATCCATTTTTCAATCATGACTAATGATTGAACATTGTTCAATCATTAGATATCTTATCATGCTATACTGCTATATCATGAGATATGTTACCCTGGATTTTCTGTATAATTTTAATCCCTGCCTTTTTTGTCATGTGACAGATCAATATCATCTGGGTCCAGGTGATGTGATTATTTGTAGGTAGCTGCTATGTTTTATTTTAATGATTATTGGAAAGCATCTGCTCCTAAGAAAAACTAATCATTTTCATGGAACTATTTTGACATCATTAAGTATAATACAGTGAAAATGAACACTTACTGGACTCTGACGAGAAAGATCCAGGTTTGAATGTCATTTTAGTCACTAACATTAAGCTGCCTGAGCCTAAATTTTCCCATTAGGAATATGAAAATTATAGCTTACTTTGGATGGTTATGCAAATATGAAACATGACAAAATGAGTGAAATTAAGTCTGTAGTTTTGTTTTTATTATTATCTTGGAATAATTATTCTTTTTAGAAACTAGGTAATTATACTTAAGTAATTTCGAAGGGAATATGTTATTAATAATCATAAGCTTCCAAGAACATATAAACATTCAATGCATTACATTTATGTTAGAATTTTGTTTGCAGAATAATTTAGAGTAAATGTAACAAATATTTATAACCTGATTGTTTTTTTTCTAGGCAGGATTCCAAAATAATCTGAGACTCATTATTTCACTGCTATTGACATGTGATTTCTTTATATTAGATCTTGGGTTTCCCTCCTTAAAGTAACTGCCACTTCTATGCACATTTCCTCTAAATATGTATCTCAAGATTGAATGTCTCTTATATTTTGCTTTATATTCTTAGTTGCATGCTGAATGCTGTTTTCCTCTGCTGGAAGCTACCTACCTTGGACCTACATGTGTATGTGCAAAGATCTCCAATGAATAGCTACATTCAAATTCAGTTTTAAACATATTTTTTAAAATCCTGCTATTATCACCATCAGCTTGGTTGCTTCCAAAATATCTGATTTTTTTTCCTTTCCCTGATTTCTCGCCACACTTAAATTCTACATTTCTTTAAAATTTAGAAATTGAGGCCATGGCATGAACGTCATATCTCACCTACTGTGTGGTAGACTTCCTAAGGACACGCTACCTCATGGTGTCTTCTTATTTCAGGACTTTGGCACATATAGAATGAAATGATAAACAATGTGGTCCTCTTTTATGATTTTTTAAAATTCATCCTCTTTCCCCTTTCATATGGGACCATATTTGTTTGAACTATACACTCACACATTCAAGTAGAAACAATGAGAAGGAAAGCTTCATTTTAAAGGCCAAATATCACTTTTGTGTTTCTCTTACTGTACATACTTAAATTCACATTGGAAATAAGATGATTCTTTTCTCTTGGGGAAATAATTTTACTGGACCATTTGTGTATTGAAGGGAAAAGTTACGGTTCTTTTTGGAATGAAGTCCTCTAAAAACACGTGAGCAAACTGCTGAGCAAAATAACATCAATTGATGTCTTCATTGTGTCCAGTTGCATTTTCCAGACTGTTTCCTGTTGGAAAATTTTCTTCATATTTTATCTTCTTGAGTGGCATGGCAGTGAGGGGAGAGGAGATAAGCACTGCTCAGTTCCTAGTGGGAAAGAACGCTAGCATGGAGGAGCAGCAAGGAGATGTGGCCAAAGGGACACATGGGAAGCTCATGGTCTTCTGAATCTTGAAAAATAAGCTAAACTACATTAAAAAAAAAAAAAACCACTGATTTGCTTCAATTACCCAGGTTCATATGAACAAACACCAGGAAATGGAGGAAAAAAAGCGTGTTTTGTCTTCTTGTCGCATAGGGAGAGATAAGTGTCTCTATGTTATATTCTTACACAGATCTTTACAGAGATATTATTCATAAAAACAGGCCAAATTTAATCTTAAATTTAGATATTATTCATAAGCACAAGCTAAATTTAATCTTAAATGTAGCCACTTATGAAATTTAAAAAATAGCAGCTGTACTTCAACAATTATCAAGAAATAAGAAACTGCATACAGCTAAGATAGCAAAAGACACAGAACCAAGGAAATGGAAAGGAAGACAGAATGCCCAGTGTTTATAAAACACGATGACAGAACCAATTAGTAAATGGAAATTCTGGGAATAATAGAAAACAGTATAAATTCTTCTATTGAGAGAGCAGGATTCAGACTAGATTTTTAAAATCGAAATACAAGCTGCTCTCAAGGAAATAAAAAGCAATGTGAAAAGGTTAATAATAATAGCACTTTTATTTATTGAGTGCTTGCAATGTGCCAAATGCTCTTCTAATTGCTTTAACGGGATGCCCTCATCCAATATGTAAGTGGTATTATCGTCGGTTGCTGTTGATTTCTGCTCTTTCTGTCTTTTATTAAGTTATCAAAGTGACCAATAAAGTATTCTTGCTCCTGAAGACAAGACATACTAGTCTATGGAGACTAAGTCTTAAACTTCAATAATCCTTTGCATAAGAAGGCCAGCCTGAGGATGAAGCTAACATATAGAGGAGACGCAGAAGAGGAATTTCAAAGAAATGAAGCATGATGAAGAATGAAGTCAAACTCATTTGAGTTGGATTCAGCTAAACGATCCTAACTGACTTACTCATTTAGTTAAGGAGGCACAGTTAATATTTAAACTCTGCTAGTTTTTCTCCAAATGTGCACTTACATCTAGTATTACTATACTGAAAAAGATTCACAAAAGCATAAAAACAGTATGTGTGGAAATTCCAATTGCACACAAAATAGTCTTTGAGGTAAGAAAAAAAAAAATGAATCATTCCATATCCCGCAAAGGTAAAATCATGGCCCTGATTGCTAATTAGCTCTAGAATTATAAATCCAAAATTCTTACAAATATAGGACAGCCATAATATCATCACAGTAGAACTCCTAAACACTCAATTGAGTTTTTGATATTTCAAGTGTTCAAAACAAAGACATAGGTATTTATTAGTATAAATAAGAATTGAATTAATGGATACTCAAAAAAAATCAAACTGTAAATACCACAAACAGAGGATAAACCTTTTTCTTTTTTTTTTTTTTTTTTTTTTTTGAGACAGAGTCTCACTCTGTCGCCCAGGCTGGAGTGCAGTGGCATAATCTCGCTCACTGCAAGCTCCACCTCCCAGGTTCACACCATTCTCCTGCCTCAGCCTCCCAAGTAGCTGGGACTACAGGCACTCGCCACCACATCCGGCTAATTTTTTGTATTTTTAGAAGAGATAGGGTTTCACCATGTTGGCCAGGATGGTCTCGATCTCCTGACCTCATGATCCACCCACCTCAGCCTCCCAAAGTGCTGGGATTACAGGCATGAGTCACCGCGCCCAGTGGATAAACCTTTTGCAAGCATACATTGAGCATTTATAGAAATAATCATGTGTTAGACCATGAAGGAAAGCCTCAATAAAATTTTCAGTGAAAAATATACAAAACACATACATTCATACAATACAATAAGCTAGGAATTAATCATGTAAATTTAAATGAAAAGCATAAAACTGTTTGGAAATTTAAAGCATAACACTACAACAACAAATAGCATCTTCTAAATTCACAGTAGGTCAGACAGGAAATCAAAACTACAATTTTAGAAAATAACAGTCGAAAAACATACACTGAAATATAATTTGTAAATACTTACAGACAGATTGATGAACACAAATGTTTTAAATGCCTAATTTAAAAATCAAGTAAGAGGCTGGGCGCACTGGCTCACACTTGTAATCTCAACACTTTGGGAGGCCGAAGTGGGCAGACCACAAGGTCGGAAGTTCGAGACCAGCCTGGCCAACATGGCAAAATCCCATCTCTACTAAAAATACAAAAATTATCCTGGCATGGTGGCAGGCACCTATAATCCTAGCTATTCAGGAGGCTGAGGCAGGAGAATCGCTCCAATCCCGGGCGGGCGGAGGTTGCAGTGAGCTGAGATCATGCCACTGCACTACAGCCTTGGCAAGAGGGTGAGACTCCATCTCAAAAAAAAAAAAAAAAAAGAATCAAGTTAGAAAAAAGAACATACTTAAAGAAAATGTAAACAAATATAAAAGTAAAAATCAAATAAATAAAATTTATACATTAAACCATCAAGGACACGTGTGAACAGGACAAAAGAAGACAGATAATTCTTGTCTAATCTAGGCAAGGGAGGAAAAATAGGTAAAAATAAATGTGATTTAATTTACAAACAAGAAAGAGAATGTGTTACATGTAGTGGAAGAAGCTAAGTTCTCTACCAAGTTGTGCCTACTTTCCTCTGGGTTGACAATAATGGGACCCGTTTAGCCAATTGGTGCACTAGGATTGCAGAAGTCTATTTACAGAGGGAGCTGAGGAGTGTCTTCAGGAGGTACTCATGCAAAGGAAGGCAGGCCTTGTCCATTAACAAAGCCTTGGTCAACAGAAAGAACTAGTTCTGGGGATAGCATGGTCTTATTCATCCTGACTTGTCTTCAATTCCGGCCTTGTGTCAATTCAAACTGAAGTCACATGTAGTGCCTCAGGTTTATTTCGAGAGTGTGTTAAACAAGTGCAATGGTCAGGGGGCCACCCCAGACATCTTGAACGAGATTCTTGTCTGCTGTTTCCTGGGTATCCTTATGAAGAGTGTAATACCAAAGAAGGTAGAAAGTTACCTCTTAAATTCCAATTCTATTAATAATTTTGTGTCTGAGGACATCAGAACTTATGAATCTGCATCAGTGATTAGAGGGAATTAGCAGCAATATCAGGAGAAATGGTGTTGGCTAGTAGAAGTAGGCAGACCTAGAGGGAGATACTGGGTTTTGCAAGAGTGGTACTCAATGGAGAAGACGAGCTGGGTGCACACCTGTCAGCCCCAGAAGGCCAAGGCAGGCAAACAGTAACATCAGGTGCCATGAGTTGACAGGTCTTGTTTCTGAATACCCAGGACTCCTTGAGGGTATGCAGAAATAACTCACAGCATTGTGGGGGAGGAGGTTATAATGGCAAGAAAGTGTGTACACCAGACACATGCAGGTCCTGAAAATGGAGATGTTTTCTATTAATGTAATGACATATAACTCTGTCACTAAATTTGTAAGTCTCAACAAAGATGAAAATCTTCTGAAAAAATATAAATCTCCCCCAAATGAGCCAAAGAAACAACAAGAAGAAAACTGCAATAACCAAGAAAGAAACTGAACATACTATCAAAATTATTTCAAAAAGGCTCTATACAAGAGCAATTTGTTAGTGATTACTATATAATATTTTTCAAAAATGAAATTATTCTCATGGTATTTAAATATTTCCTGATCACAGAAAGGTAATTTTTACAGAAGTAGTATAATCATAAAATCCAAACCAAATATAGATTAAAAAGTAATGATAGCTCCAACTCACCTATTACTAAGTCATATTTTAAACCTTAATAATTATTAGGGAAAGTATTTGGTAGTGTAACAAAAGAATTTTCTCTCTCAACCAAGGAGGTTTCGCTTCAAAACACAAAATTATTTCAGTATTGGTAAATATGTTACCATAGTATCTACATCAATAAGTTGAAAGGAAAATATATTCTGAAACCTCAACAAAATTAAAAAGATATTCAACAATATTCTAAAAATACTCTTCATTAAATTCTTAAGAAAAGTTGCCAGGCATGGCTCACGCCTATAATCCCAGCACTTTGGGAGGCCAAGGCGGGTGGATCACTTGAGGTCAGGAATTTGAGACCAGCCTGGCCAACATGGTGAAACCCTGTCTCTACTAAAAAAATAAACACACACATACACACAAAATTAGTTGGGCATGATGGCAGGCATCTGTAGTCCCAGCTACTCCGGAGGCTGAGGCAGGGAGAATTGCTTGAATCCAGGAGACAGAGGTTGCAGTGAGCCAGGATCGCGCCATTGCACTCCAGCCTGGGTGACAGAGCAAGACACCATTCAAGAAAAATAAATAAATAAATAAATAAATATAAATAAATTCTAATAAAAGTAGAAAGAAAGGGATTCTTACTTAACACAAAAATGATTATTTACCTTAAATCAAGAGCCAACATAATTCCCTAGCAACGAAACACAGGAGAGACTTCAATTTAAATTAAAGAGCAAGTAAGTGATATTTGATATCACTTGTGCTGTTTAAATGTGTTATAAAATTATGGAAAATTTCATTCAATGAGACATGAACTGAAAAGAAGGAATAAAATCACTGGAGAATAAGAGGTGGGCAGGAATTGCCTTATTCTTCCAGAAAACTAAAGGGCATAAATAGGAAAAAAAAAAAAAAGGTCTATTTTTGCTTTAGCAGCAGAGTACAAAAAAGAAATCAGATACAACACAAACATCCTGCTAAATCAGTAATTTTTCTATTTAAGAGAAAAAGCAGTTAAATGATCTAATGTAAATAAAGATTTCATTTAAAGTAAATTTAAAATAACTAGGGTGTATCTTAAAATGTATCCAATCTATATAAGGAATACAATGCCATTTCCTTGAGAGACTTACAAAAGAAAATATTAATTGATTAATATGCTTGGAATACAGAATGCAAGTTATAAATGTTTTGGGGATTAATGTACCTGAATTAGAAGATTATCTTTAAAATAGATTCACAAATTAAGTTATACAAGCAGTTCTCACCCTACACAGTACTCGGTTAACTAAAACGTATGTATATGAGAGCAAAATCCTTGCTTTGGTATGAATTTCAATTAACTGTGCCAAGGGAGAACTGCTTTTAGTTTTAAAGCAAATCCCATTAAAATCCTGATGACATTTTTCTTTATAACCCTGACGATATGGTCCTCTTAGTTCACCTAAAAGAAAAAATAGGCAAGCATATGTAATAACTTTCAAGTAGACAGCTGGATCCAAAGTCTGTAGCTTGGGGGAAAAGTCTGGAAAAGTGATATAAATCTGAGAGCCATCATCACCTAGATGGTGTGTCAAGTCCAGGAAGACAATGTTAAGATTGCTGAGAGTTGACAGGGAGAAGACAACAGGACAACAGTTCTATGGACGATGGTCAGACATTGACAGTGAGGACTGTATGACTATACACAACAAATTAGGACTTATGACTATAAACAACAAATTAAGAAATATTAAAATATTACAGTCTATAAGCATTGATAATGGACATGATAAACTAGCCCCCAAATAGGTCCTAGTGTGTGTAGGTTATGTATGTATATATGTTTGTGTATATATGTATGTATATATGTTTATGTGTATATATACACACATAAAGGTGTGTGTGTGTGTGTGTGTGTGTGTCTATCTTTAATATCAGAGAGAAGCATGACTAATAGAGAAGAGATTCTTCACTGGATTCTCATGATACCACACACCAAAATAAATTCCTAGGTATGTCAAAGTTTTAAATGTTTGAAGTAAAGCTATTTTTACAAATTAGCAATGTTTTTAGACTATTTAATTTTGGAGAGGAAAAAGACTTAAGAATCATAAAAGCAATGAAATTCTGAAAGACTTCAGAAAGAAAAACTTCAGTTACTAAGAATTAAAGCTCACTTAAAAAAATCATAGTTCTTACTGAAAGGTCAGTGACAACGGAAAACATGTTTGTAACAAAAAAAATTATAGCAACAGAAAAATAGTATAGCTGAGGTCTATAACGATCTCTGATAAATTTTTAAAAATCACTAACAATCAAATACAAAAAAAAAGCAAGTATCATAAGTGAATAATTCACAGAAGAAATGCAAATAGGCGTTAAATATGTGGAAAACTTTAGGTTCATAGCAATAAAAAATACAGATTAAGATAATAGCAACTTATTTCAAATTAGCAAAGGTAATTTTTTTAAAAAAGAATGATGCTCAGTGCTGGCAATGTTGAGTTAGAATGTTTACTTCCCTATGCTGCTAGTGATAATATAAGCTATTGCATTTCTAGAGGGTAGTTTGATATTAGGTCTTCTAGATTTCTGGATCTTTTGACTCAGTGATCATACTTCCAAAAAATGAACCTAAGAAATGTATCATGTATGTGAACCAAAAATTACATATAAAATGTTGTTTATAATTTTTAATGGCGTAAAGTTAAGAGGAAAAGTACTTAGATATTCAATAATGAGAAATAAATTATATCGTTGTTGGTACTTCCATACAATGGACTATTATACAAATATTAACATAGTTTCATAGATCCTTTAATAATCCTGGAAAATGCTCTAGGCATATTGGAATATACATATATATATTTCTAAGGATTGCCCAAATCACAAACATTCGCAATTTTCTCAATTCTGTGGAATTTTTCTCAACTGAGTATGACTGTGATGAATACCTCTAATATTTTAAGTCCTTTCCTGGGGAAGATACACTGACATTAGCTATACCATCACGCACATGCCTTTGCTAGTTCCTTTTTCTCTACAAGGCCTCTCACCATCATCCACAGAACTGTTGTCCTGTTGTCTTCTCCCTGTCAACTCTCAGCTCTCTCTTAATATTGTCTTCCTGGACTTGACACACCATCTAGGTGATGGTGGCTCTCAGATTTATATCACTTTTCCAGACTTTCCCCCAAGCTACAGACTTTGGATCCAACTGTCTATTTGACAACTGCACATTGACATCCATTAGGCATCTCAAATTTAAAATGGATGGAATGGAATACCGATATAGTATGACCGAAATTTTGGTGAGATTATGGATCATTTTTATTTCCTCCTGTATAGTTTTTGTATACTCTCCAACATATCCTAGGACGAGCATGTATTACACTTCGACTAGTATTACATTTAGAATCAGATATGCAGTAAACATTTTTCCAAAATAAATATCTATCTCAAGAAACAAAGGTCCTCACTTTGAGGCACATGAGTATATTTGTCTAATTTAAGAAAGAAATCCTGTTTCTTTAAATTCAAGTTTTGTGTTGGAGCTGCCACTGGGAGGTTGTGCTGAATTTCCCCCATTAAGCAATTTCCTAAGGAGAAACCACCTGATCAAGCACTCATTGCACCATTTCTTCAGATTTTTAATTTCAAAACATTTCACTTGGCAGAGGCAGACCAGGGAGTCCTGTCAGTGACTGCTGGTATTTGGCAATGACAGTGGAAACACAGGAAGGAACCAAGCACAGAGCAAGCCAGCACACTTTAATCAGCTCCTAGCATTGCAAGAGCCAAGATTGACAAGGGCCTCACACCCCTAGGTATAAGCAAAGTGACACACTCCAGTGTAGCTGTGAGGTTTTATAGCAGTGTTATCACTCAGAGAACAGAGACATAAATGCAGAGGGGTTGGAAGAAAAGCACATAATGTTTTCACACACTAAGCTTAATTTCAATATTGTTTCACGCTCCTGGGGTTTTGTTATGAATGACTGTAAAACTACATCGTTTTGAAAATTAGCGGATTGCAAGGAAATTGCATCTTTGATGACGCTGGTGCAATGGGTTGATATACTGGTAGCTTGGCCTCACACCAGGGCATGCTAAGTTGGCCCTAGTTTCAGAGAAAAGATCTGAAGAAAATGACAAAAGATAACAGAAAAGTTTTTTTTTTCTTTTGCATCCAGTACAAACTAAATTTAAAAAGAAAAAGAAAAAACAAAACAAAGGAAGAAAAAAAAAGAAATGCACAATGCCAATAATATTCTAAGGAGTTATGCCTGTAATTTAAAAGTAGCTCTAGGGTATTTCTAACTTACATGACCAGTCTGTGCTGTATGGGGGTAGGGTGACACATGTAGCATTTGAACTTGACAGCATTAGACAGATAATGTTTCTATAATCCCCCTCATTTCTGAACAATTTCTTGTTGTATGATATATTGTTTCTACAGCTGTTCTACATTCAGTGGCCATAAAACCATCCATTTGTGTAATCTCAGGGCAAAAAGCACCACAAAGAGAAGCAATGGGACTGGGAAAATGATCCATCTTCATTTATGCATTTAAAATTTTTCTCACTGTGATAGCCTGGTGAGGTGGATATCTTCTTTTGAAAACCACAGAGAGCCAGCTGCCTCTTCCTAGTCCAACAAACATCAGTACAGACAATAACATTAAGGATTCATAATCCCACATAGAAGTACATGACATTATCCTAACTAAATTTTGTCTTTTTACATCCCCAAGACTTATTAATACATGGGATAAAAAGCTATGGGAGCTCCAGCTTCCACAGTGTGTGTGATGGATATTGTATTCCAGCTGTTCCATTTGGAGGCTTTTGTCCCAGATTCATCAAGTTCTGGTAGAAATAAACAGAATGTGAGTATCTGATTCTCATAGTTTTTCTAAGCATAGTTTTCTCATTTCTCCTTTCTTAAATGCCAAAAAGATTACTTAAATCACAAACATTATCAATTTTCTCATTTGTATGGAATTTTATCTCAGCTGAGTATGTTTTACCTCCAGACTGTGATAAATACCTCAAATATTTTAAGTCCTTTCCTGTGGAAGATATGCTGGCATTAGCTATACCATCATGCCCCTGCCTTTGCTAGTTTCTTTTTTCTTTACAAGACCTCTGACCATCGTCCATAGAACTGCTGTTCTGTTGTCTCCTCCCTATCAACTCTCAGGCTTCTCTTAACATTGTCTTCCTGGACTTTAAACACTTTATATCACTTTTCCAGACTTTCCCCCAAGGTACAGACTTTGGATCCAACTGTCTATTTGACAACTGCACATTAACATCTATTAGGCACCACAAATTTAACCTGGCAGGGATACAACTATTGGCTTCCACCCCATCCCGCTCCTTTGAGAAGGAAGTTCTCAGGCCTTCATCATCACTGCAGCAAATGGTGAGACATCTACCAGTTGCTCAGACCTAACACCTGGGTGCCATTTTGCATTTCTTTTTCCTTCACATTCTAAATCCATCCAATCTATAAAAGCTAGTTCACAGAGACCCTTGGAATAGCTCTTTAATTCTTTAAAATTGCTCTCCTGTTTCTCTGCTCCTGTCCAAAGAGTCCAAAGAGATACTTTAGAGTGTCTGGTCACTGAAGCAATCTGCTTCCTGGTCACTGCATGCTATGCTGAGATCAGCTGCTGATGTAACTGACAACATGGTTCTCTGCATGGTCAGAGGTGAGTGAGGGACTGTAGATAACTCAGCCATCCCTCAACTCTTATTGATACTGCATGACCCGTCTAAGTTTCTGCCATTATCTTTCTTCAAGCCCTGGCCTTGTGATTCTATTGAATTGTTTTCAAATTCACCTACTCTTTTCTCTGTCATCTCAATTTTATTATTGAGCCCATGGAGTAAATTTTCATTTCGCATAGTTTTTAGTTCTGAAATTTTCACTTGCTTCCTTTTTATATTTCTACTTCTCTACTGAAAGTGTCTATGTTTCCATTTATTCCAGACTTTACCTTTACTTCATGAAGGATGATCAACATAGATGATTTAAAGGCTCTCCAACACACGAGTCACCTGAAAATTAGCATCTGTTGATTATGTTTCCCATAAAAATTGGTCAGATTTTCCTGGTTTTTGTATATCGAGTAACTTTGGATTGTACCCTTGACTTCTTAGATACCTCTGGAGAAGGAGGATGTTTGCTTTTTGTTTGTTTGTTTTAGCAAAACAATCAACCCAGGTAGTTCTACTTCTGCGTCATCTTTTGGTGGTGGTTCCAATGGCAGTTCAGTTCTCTTTGACATTGCTATGCTGTTTGGATCTCCTGCATGCATGTGCCATCAGTTTGGTCTACAATTTGGGCTTTATTGTTCACTTCCCAAAGCCTTTGCTGTTGTTCTTTGGATTTGTTCCATGCATACACAAGTTGGTGGTGAGCTCAGAATTGTGTCAATTCATACACAATATACCTCCCACCCCAACATACAAACACATCTGAACACCCTCTTCATGCAACAGCAAAGCCCATTTATTCTGGTTTGTCTATCCAGAGCTAGAGATTTTCTCTCAGGGCTTTTGAGGCCTCTTCTAGATATCTCATATACATATAATGACATAATATATAGTGTACTGACTTTAATTGCTGTATAACAAATTACTACAAACATAGTAGCTTAAAACAATACCCATTTTTCCTCACAGTCTCTGTAGGACAGAAGCCCAGGCCAGTTAGGTCCTCTGCTCAGGGTCTTCACAGGCTATAATCAAGGCGTCAGCCAGACTGTGTTCATATCTGCGGCTTGACTAGGGAAGAATCCATTTCCACATTTATTCAGGTTTTTGAAAGAATTTGGTTCCTTGTGGTTGTAAGACTGAAGTCCACACTTTGTTCCTGGCTGTCAGCGGGACACTGCTTATATCTCCTTGAGTCCTTGCCACAGGGTCCCCTCCATAGGCAGCTCGAAACAGATTCCTTCAAGGTCAATAAAAGGATCTCTATCACTCAGAACCTCTCTTTTCATACAAGATCTGGACTCTCTTTACTAGGGCCCACCTAATTAGCTCAGACCCACTCAGGGTGATTTCCCATTTGATTAACCTAATTACATTTGCATAATCTCTTTACCTTTGCCATATAACATAACCTAAGCACAGCAGTGACTATCCCATCACATTCACTGGTCCGTTCTAAACCCAAGAGTGGGGATTACAAAGGGTCTGTGCACCAGGAGGAGGAATTTTAATGGCTACCTTAGAATTCTGCCTACCACAGTGATATTTTGCATATGACTTCCTTCAGTTAGCAAAATGTTTTTGAGGCTCATCTGTCTTCTATTAGGTATCAGTAGTTCATTTCTTTTTATTGGTGAATAAAATGAATAGACTACATTTTGTTAATTACCAGTTGATGAAAATTTAAACTATTTCTATAATTTTGGCTATTATAAATAATAACTTTACAAACATTTATGTAAATGTTTTTCTTTTTCTTAAGTAGATGTCCAGGGGTGGAACTTCTGGGTTGGACAATAAATTTAAAGAGAAGCAAATCTTAGCAAAGGATATAGTTCCTGGACTCATATATCCTGATTTCAAATCCTAATTCTATTCTTACTAGCTGTGTGGTCTTCAGCAAATTATCTAACACACATGGCTTGACACAGAGCAGACACTGTAAACTACCATGAATACTCATTCTGAAAGCCCAGTAGGCATTCAACACATATTCGCTGATTGACTAACAGGTTGAAGATTCTTTCTCCCAAATAATCTGTATAACATATATAGTTTCTGAATATGACTTCCATGGAATTATGGCTCAGATTTCTTTTTCCATTTCTTAGTGACATGGCCTGTGTTTGGGGATAACTCTATGATTGTTTCCTTTGAGAGGATTTGTCAAATAACCTGACACCCCCAAAGATTTCTTGATAAACATTACCCTTTCTCTTCCCCAATAACAAAGAAAAACAATGAGATATTCCCATATCTGTAATGACTTTCCTGAACGGAAGTTGACACACTTATAATTTTTTTCCCACATGGGACTTTTAATATTCTGACCTATAACATCAAATAAACCCTGAGGTTTTTGTTTTTTGGTTTTGGTGGTTTTTTGTTTGTTTGTTTTTTTGTTTTTTAACTACAGGCTGGTGGTCTGTCTGGGATATATTTTATGTGTGAGGGAAAAATAAAATTTTATTTGCTGCCTGCAGACTAAATTCTTTTAAAGAAGAAAGTTTATTGATGTTGTAAGCAACATGATGCCTCTTGGGATGAAGGATGACCTGGGCTCAAGCCACCTCTGACGCCTCCCTCTCTTTCGTCACATTCTTTTAATTAAGAAGTCTGCTGATTGAAAGTTCATTTGCTGGCACATTTGTTAGTTTTGGCAAAATAAGGTTATGTTTTAAGAAATCTAACAGGCTTATGATGTCACGTTAAATAAGAGCACCTTCCCTTTTTAATGTTTCATCATTTAGGTCACGTATTAAACCCTTAACATTTCTTCAAATTGTTACCTTACTATGACCCAACAATATGATAACCGCATCTTCATTTCCTGATTTTATGAAATATATAATTCCTATTAGAGAAAGGTCATAATAACTTACATGGTATTTCTATATCTCAAGCTTGTCATGGAAGAATTTTGTTCCCAGAAAGAAAATAGCTTAATTCCCCCTGAATTTAGATTATTTAGCCTGTCAGTCACCATCGTTTTGTGAATCACCTCAGGAAAAAAATGTGTCTCTCAGACCAGAAAATGAACTCCATAAAGATCCTAGTTTGCCACCATCAAGGACCCTGGGAAATCATTTTCAATCTTACGGGTTGTAAAGAGTTTCCTTTGTTTAAAAGCAAACTGGGAGTTAAAAAGCAAGGAAGTAGGAAGTTCCTAAAAATTAAATGAGGTCTTAGAAGTAAAGGTGTGGTAGCCGTGTCTCCAAAGTGATGTTTAATAGGACAGGGGTTTGCCACTGAGTAAATTAGCTATGGGAGGATTATAAACTGTGGCTTGTAAGCTTGAAATTTTTTACATTTTCATCTTGTTTCTCTGTTGTTCTAAGTATTTAACAAATTCTTTTGGAAGTTCAGGCCTACTTGAGCTACAATGAACTATTCTAGAAGAGGGGAGTTTCTCCACACTTCTATTAGAGTTTGAAAGTGGAAGGCATCCTGCAATTTAGCTGGTAGTAGCAGCAGTAACTCCGTCGACAGCCCCCAAAAGGAAAATGACACTGAAGAGGATGCCTCTCATGTCATATGATTCAACCATATCTGGAGATCACCTTCCAATAGTAAAATCTTACAGGTTTTTTGTATGGACTAAGAAAGAAGTTTTCTCATACTACCCCTCCCTAACGTGGTCTCTGATGCTTCAACCCTTACAAAACAGAATTACTATCATGTTAATGATTATCTCAACTTGTTTTCTTTTTTTCAAGACGTTTATGATTTCTATCTACTCCAAGACGACTGTATGTTCTTTGACGCTAGGGATGTGACTTCAAATTTGCTATCTTCTCACGAGGATTATCACACACTGTGTAATGTACATAGTATACACATAGTACATTTATTTTATTATTATCATTATTATTACTGACACTGAGTCTTGCTCTGTTGTCCCGGCTGGAGTGCAGTGGCATGATCTCAGCTCACTGCAACCTCTGCTTCCTGGATTCGAGTAATTCCCCTGCCTCAGCCTCCCAAGTAGCTGGGATTACAGGTACCTGCCACCATGCCTGGCTTAGTCAATGTTTTTTAAAGGTAGATTGTAATCTAGATTTTTAAAAACTATTATTAATTTTTAATTTAATTGACTAGTTTATCATATTCTACAAACTACTGAGTTTTGTCATCATTTCTTTTGTGAAATATATCTAAATGTCATATCATGAGTTATTATCAGGTTCAACTAGCTGTAATGGAAAGATACAGAACAAGGAAACTTAAGTCAAAAGACCAGTTTCAGTCTAGGCTTGGCCCCTTACAAGTAACATAATCCAAGTCCTGGAGCCTCCTGTAAGCCTTCATTTAACTACTAAATAGCAAAATAAAATGTTTCTCTTAGAGTTGTGACAATTCATTGAAATCACATATGTGACGGTGCTTTATTATTTACAGTAGCAGTAGAAGTAGTAGTGTGTCCGGAGTTGGTTCCTTCCGGTGGGTTTGTGGTCTCACTGACTTCAAGAATGGAGCCACGGACCTTCGTGGTGAGTGTTACAGCTTTTAAAGATGGCAGGGACCCAAAGACTGAGCAACAGCAAGGTTTATTGTGAAGAGTGAAAGAACAAAGCTTTCATGGCACGGAAACGGACGCAAGGGGGTTGCCGCTGCTGGCTGGGGTGGCCAGCTTTTATTCTCTTATTTGTCCCCTCCCATGTTCCGTTTCTGTCCTATCAGAGTGCCCTTTTTTCAATCCTCCCTGCAATTGGCTACTTTTAGGATCCTGTTGATTGGTGCATTTTACAGAACGCTGATTGGTGCATTTTACAATCCTCCTGCTAGCTACAGAGCGCTGATTGGTGCATTTTACAATCCTCTTGTAAGAAAAGTTCTCCAAGTCCCCACTCAACCCAGAAGTCCAGCTGGCTTCACCTCTCAGAAGCAGCTGCATCTATCAGGAACTAGAAAAGTGCTTTCATACATTTAGCTGGAGAAGATGTTCTTTAATGGGAGGATAAAAAATATTCCATGTTAAAAACTAAACTTCAAAAAAGGAAGTAATATACATGCCTTAGCTGTATCTTATAGTAAGGTTAACTGCAGTATCCATAGTTATATTCATTGATATTAAATTCCTTAAAGAAGATATCCAAAGGAGGGTCCCTAGTTTTTTTTTTAAATAGAAGAGATGAAATAGTAATAGGGAAAATGAAATGGTTGATCACAGCAATTTGAAATCGAGTAATTTTCCTTCTTCCTTTAAGAGAACATTACCATTCAATACTCTTTCAAAAGAAATGCATCATTCATGTATTTCATAATAAATAAGTGAGAAAACCAACAATAATAATTTTTAAAAAATAAACACTAAACTAAGACTGCTCACTTCCTTGCACCTCCAATGGATCAATTCCATTTGACAGACTGTGTCAGGTTTTCAACCTGCCCGTTCAAAAGCTAATAATGTGCAATCCCTAAAAAGCGTCATCTATGCTTCCTAGGAAGCTTCCTTTCTTAAACTGAAACTGAATCCGGAAAGCAGTGCTAATATGTTTCAAACCTGGCTCCTTCACACCACAAAATCAACTGTGCTTTTCAAGACAATCACTTCCAAACATGCAAACAGTTGAAATCCTCAGCATACTTTTACTTAACTTACACTCTGCTTCAAACACTGTCGTTTATAAAGCAATAATGAAAATAACAAGTCTATAAACCTGTGCTTACTGGCAGGGGTTTTAAGCTCCCAGGTCTTCAAACCTGTAGCTTAAGCAATGACTAGAAGAATTAAGGAAACAGAAGAAAAAGGGGAAGAGAAAAGGAAGGATCAATCTCTAACTCTATATCTCTGTGTGTGTCTATATATGTATGTGTGTGTCTATGTATATATTAGTTATATGTCATGGAAAGAAAATACTGGGGGAAATAAGAAGATTCAGGAGAAAGAAGCTCAAAGAACTTTGGCCAGGAAACCACTTAGCTATAGCAAAACAACCATGTGGTATCTGCAAATATGCTGAAAACCCTATAGTGACACCAAATCCAGGGACTATTTAGGGAGTGGTAATTCCACATTTTGTACATACATAGGAGGGAATTGAGGGTGTTATCCTGCTTGGAAGTGGGCTAAGGTACCTTATTTAAATCTACAAACAGTTTTAATTTAGGTTACATGTTTATTTTGGGTGTCTGGAGGTGAGAGGCTAAGGAGGATTGGTGGAAAGAGCAAAATTTCTTAAGCAACTTTTGACACTACCAGTTTATTAAAGAATCTTCTTCTAAAGGTAAATGGGCTGAAAACAGATGTACTGAGTGAACTCATGCATTTTAGTGATATTTTCATTCTTGGGCCTTGCAGCCAACGACACTAGTTTTTTATGCTACACATTTTCTTCATCAACAGAAGGGTACAAGAGCAAGCTGAAAGCAGAGGCAAAGAGAAAGTATCCAAAGTTCTACTCCCAAGATTCACAAGTTCAGTTTGTGATATGTCTTAACTTTCAATTAGACAAGGGCTCCGTCTGGGTGACAACAGTAAAGCCACATAACTGCTTTGATTGGATTTTATTTCTTTGCACAAAACAGGCCAGTTTTTTAGCCTTCAGTCTCATATAATTGTGGTTCTTTGTGAACAAAAGAACATGTTTTTAGTCTACTTTCTACGGATTTCTTATTTCAGGAAGATAACTTTAAATTTATTTACTTCAATATGTTGAGACACATATATGACTTGAAAACGCTCTCCATTAAGGTTACAGGATTGAGATAAAATATGTTACTCTGGTTTTTAAAGTGGTCTTCAATGATCTGGAAAAGTCTCCCACCTGTAGGACTTCATCAAGGTCCTCTGAGTATTTCTTCACCTGATCCTCCCACAGGAGCAGGACTCACTCATGGGCAAGGTATTGGATCAATATTATAGTTCCAAGTTGATACAGAATTTAAAAACTAAAACACTCACTCCCTGAAGTTTGACTGTTGCTGCGTAGACAGACAAACTGAGATTTCTGGGTTGGACATCTAGCACAGTCCATTTTATCATTCATCATTTTTAGATTTCAAATTGAGTGCAAAATGTCATGTAACCTATTTAAATCATACTTACTAACAACCATGCAAGTAAAGGCAAAAAGGTTCTCATTCAGGAGGTTTTCATCCATTTCCTGAAACGTCCTGATGTGTGTAAAGATCGTGGCTGGCAAAACGTCCTAGAATTTCGTCCTGACTGGGACACTTATTTGAGATGGGCAGGTCACCTCTCCGACACTCACTAATTTCCTCCTCTTGTGAAATTCCTGACCTGCTTTACCTCAAGATTTCTTAAGGAACAAACAAAATAATGTGACAACATTTTGAAGACTAATGTGTGATATTAACATAAAGTAAAATCTGTTTCAGTGTTCTAAGTTAAAATCTACAAATTGATTATGTTTCCAAGAGATATTCAAATAACTGTTAGCTATGATAGAAGTAAAATCTTTTAGTTTTAAAATGTAAAAAATAAGAGCCAGTGCACAAAACAGCTGTCTTTAGAGAGACTTCATTTGTTTATGATCATTTTTCAGCACTCTAAAATGGTCAGCAATGGTCTCATCCATACATCTGTATAACACTCCTAAAATATAAAATAATTCTGCACCAAAAAATCAAGACAGATGTAAAAATTTCTTTCCACAACTATCTAACAGCTAACTTCTGTGCTTCATCACTCATGAGGAAGTATTCATAAATGTAGCTGGAGCTGGGGAAGCTTTTCTCAGAAACAACAGAGGATAATGATATAAAGAATTATTCGATGAATGTTTCTGTGTTTTTTTACATGTGAAAACTATATGTATGCCCCTTTTCTTGTATCTACTAATGGAAACCATCTCATCTATTTACACTGTATAGATCTTCATTTGTTAAGCCAATGAATTCGTGACAATCAGTCTTAGGGCAACACGGCTAAACACAGGACCCTACTCCACCATTACGTTGTACATTTAAAACCATCAGAATTGGCTAAGTTTGGAGACTAGAATACCCAATCAATAAAAAGTGCTTCAATTTAGTTTTTAAACTACTGTCATCATGCTGCCTCATTATATTCCCTTAAAAATTGACTAGAGGCAATTTTGCTGAATATTGAAAATGGAAAGTAGTAAAAGTGGAGGAGAAAAAGGGGTGCCAACACCATTATAGAGTGGCTCACAAAGTTCTTGAGCATGAGGATTATGTATTAAATCTTTAATTTCGGCACAAAAATAAGTAAGTGTAAGTGTTACACATAGAATTACTCAGAGAATAGAGAAAGGCAAGAAGGATGAGGTGGCGAGGAGCAAAGAAGGGAGGACAGCAGGATGGATTACCACTACTTAAGTTACTAGGTGACTTGGTTTAGTAATAAAGTTGCAGTATAGCGTTTTTAACTGTTCCCTAATATTACATCGCAAAGAGAAAAGATCATTGCCTCCTCAATGACTCCAATACATGAAATAGATACTATCCTGGATGTAGAATTCCCTACACCAAAACAAAACACAAGAAATACATGATACTAAAATGTTACTCCTTGGAAAAACTAAAAGTCACATTTTATTTGTAGAACTTAGACTTGATATTAATTATTCTTGTCAAATAGGTAAATGCATTAAATTTTAAGGCTAATCAAGTCTACTGGATTTGAAGTAGCATGTGCAGTATGTCCTGCCTCCAGGAATTGAAAATATTTGGCATTGCAAATAGGCCAGAAACCTGAGTGTTTGCTTCTCTATTTCTGTCAACCCCTTGGTCGATAGACCCTCCTTTGATACATTTTCATCAGTTTGCTTCCTGAACACAAATGATCTTGCGTGAGTTGAGAAAAATGGAAGGCAAATAGAAATGCAGCATTTGTCCAATACTGTTGTCAAACCATCTTCAGAGTAATCAACTATTATTAGTTAATTATAACAATAAAGCTCTTCATGAACTGTAGCAAAATTTTCAATAATGTGCACTGTGTTTTTCATGACTTTCCATAGACCCTGGTAAAAAAACAGTCTGTCTCTTTAAGTATTGCAGAAAATAACCCTCTTCCAGGTACGGTAATTAACAGGATGATAGTAAAACTGTTCATCTGATCTGCCCTGTACATAATTAATGTGTTTGTTACGAGATTGAAATTGCTCTTTTTTTTTTTCAGCAAGAGGAAAAAAAAAGGACTAACATAAAATGTTGATATTTTAAGTAAAAACGTAGATGTTTCCTATGAACCTGAAGGTATGACAAATAAAATGAGAGCTTGGAAAAGTATAATTATCATAAGAGAATCAATTCCCTCTCCATCCTGATGATCTTCAGTGTCATTTCATTTTACATGACTGTGTGGTAGGTAACAGTAGAATAGCAGAAGAACTATCATGAAGCTCAAGAGGAAAACAATCTCCCACTATCAGTCACTTTTTGTTTCTTTCTTTGGCATTCGTTATTGAACTTTGGGGTTAAAGCCCTCTAGGCTCTCTTACCCTAAAACCCCTTAAAGTTTATTCTAGGTGGTGGAGGGGGCAGTGGCAGAGGAAGAAGACTGTGGATTCTTCAGGCTTAAAAAAAGAATATAGATCATGTGTACATTGAGCATTCTTCATAAATTCCAAGTGAACTAAATATCCTATGAAGTAATCTGATTTCTTGAAAGATGTGAGAGAGCAATAGCATTTTTGTCTTTGCGGGATCTACCTGAGTCATCATGGCAACTTACAAGTGATTCCTTTCTGCTTATTAAGCCTTGGGCCACCAGCCAATCAACAGCAGAACCAGAAATGACTTCCTCAGGAGGAAGACCTCAGCCCAGGTGTATTCAGTTAAAGTCAACATTACTTGAATGTTTAATGTAGGAGAGTCCCTAACCTAGCACTGGGAGGGAATCAGATATCCTCAATTAACAGAAGAAACAAGAAAATTAAGGAGCTTCCAATGAGGAAGGAAAGAAATGACATCCAGTGAAAAATATGAAATACAATCAGAATATGGTCAATAGAAAGTTCTTAATTGCTCTGAATACACAGAGATGAAGAGGTTGGTTTCTGTCATTCATCAGGCAGACCCCAGAAAGCTTTATAGTGGAGCTGATAGCCAACCTGGCCGTTGAATGCCGAGGATTTTGATGGGACAGTGTTTTAGAAAGTGGGATTTCATAAAATGAAGATGACTTCAAAGGCCTAGAGATAGAAAAGTATGTTTGGGGAAAAGTAAATATTTGGGAATGTGAGAGGGTTATTGTATTGTGTTGAGCTCTTTAGAATCAATGAAGGTCTGTCCTCTACTCCTGTAAAAACCTGGAACATTGCTTCTTAAATTGGAGTCCAAAAATATATCTTCAGCAATCTCAAGGTCTCTTGAGTTTTATTTTTAAATTAAAGTTTCTATTTCCATGATGATACGTGGGGTGATGAAAACATTCTAAAAATTAAGATTATGGTGATGGTTGCAGAATTTTGTAAACATGATAAAAACCACTGCCTTGGGCATTTTAAGTAGATGAACATTATGGTAAGTATATTCTATCTTATAAAGCTGGTAAAGATTATTTTACACATTTTAAAGAGGCAAATATATTTTTAAATAATGAAATAAGATCTTCATTACTTAACGTTATTATGCTATGTTGATCCCTGTGAGGCTCTTTGCTATATTTTAAAAGATCCCCAAGATTCCCTTTAAAGGGGTTTGTAGTTTAGTCCAAGGCTCTATAGGCACAGGATGGAGATAAAGAAATGAAAACTGCAGATGTTAAAAAGAAAGATATAGACATTAAAAGAGATGGGATCTTAACTTGTCTCCATGGCAGGAGAGACGATTTGGTTTAGAAATTCAACATTTCTTTGTTAACACATAGTATTTAAAAAGTAGAGATTTTAACTAATGTACATGTAGCATGTATCAGCTTCTCTATCCCTGATTGGATTGTGACAATTTTCCTGTGCAGAATGCCAAGAGTTTGAAGTTAACTACCTTTTGATCAAGATTAGTTAATTACCTGTACTTAGGTTCTCTCAATCTTTACTTTGGATCTTACAAGAATTAAAAGTATGATATAAACTTTAAAAGAAAACTGAAGGTTTAAAGAACTGCATTCTTTGTAAACATTCTTAAAAAACAAACTTATTGACATGGCTCATTTCCTTCTAAAGACAAAAATAAACACGCTGTTCACAATTTTTAAGTTTTATATGTGACTGAGACAATTAGAAGAATCTCAGAAAGAGAATATCAGGAAAATGCAAAAAGCCAAGGGTTTCAAGGCAACTTAGAAAGACCAACCCTCTGGATAGGGTAGAACTTATTTATTTCATAAATTATAATACATTTAACAAAAAAATTAACAGAAATATCCTTTTCATATCAAGAAATTAAAAATAACCACGTATGTAAAGCAAAGGGACAGATGAGTCATAGACTGACCTGGTGACAGGCTGGAGCGTGAAATGAGAGCTTGTCCAACAGCTTGCCTGAGAAGAAGCCAAGGGACCAGCCAGGAAACCAGGAACGAAATATAGATGGCAGCATGTGTCACTTGGCACACCGCATGGTGACTCCAGTCCTGCCAAATGTACAGCAGGGACAGTCACAGCAGCTTAGCTGTATTTTAGGACCTAATCAAGGCATAAACCACAACTGCTGCTGTTGGTGGTTGACAAAGGAAACCAAACTGCATTTCTAATTGGGAAGAAGAAAATGTGGGCAAGAGAACAACCAACCAAATCTCATTGGGAGAAACCAAGTGTGACTAGGTTCTGTCACAAAGTTAAGCAAGGGCACATGTTTCACCAAATCTTGAAAGAGAATCATCAGAATGGATTAAGAGACACCTTATGAGCATGTTGGCCAATACATTCTTACTAAACTGATGCTCACCATGATTTTCTTTCCTCCCTGCCTGAAGACAGATAATAAAGCTATACATAGCAAACAGATTGCCATGGCTCAAACATCTGTTTGTGAGCATAGTACTATGAATTGCTTGTTTTGTCTGTTTCATATTCTTTCTGCAGAACTGATGCTCCTAAATGATACAAGATGGTGGCTTAAAAAAAGATTTTAAATTGTGCCTGATACTTTTTCCTTTTAATTAGCAATTTTATAAGTCCTTTTAAGAAATTTCTGAATACATTGGCAGAAGAACGCAGACAGAAGAAGGAAACTTAAGATGTGCAAAAAGATTTAATGATTTCAAAGAAAATAATGGTTGTTTTTAACGTTAACCCTTTTTAAACACAATACTGATAGAAGAAAACTATTGTACTCTTTTGTTTTAGTGGAGAAATAATAGATGTCTGTTCATGTGTTAAGTGTTACAGCAAAAAAAAAAAAAAATACACATACGGTTAAGTTAATGAATACTTTTCATTTTGTCAGAATGGCAACAGACAGAAGTACTTTGTAGAGACTGACTTCGTAAGCTACTTAAGACAACTTGCACCACTAAGAAAAAAATGTAGAACCATTTGGAAAAATGAAATTTAGTAATTCCAAGTTTCAAAGAAATGTCCACATTTCATTCTATTCAATAGAGAACAAAACCAATAGTCTTTTTATTACTTTCATCTGAAACATTGCATGTTTTAATCTGAGCCTTGCAGACTTTCATTTGGAGTTTGAACCAGACTTTCATTTGTAGTTTGAAGTTCATTTCGGAGAACCTCATTAACGTGAGATTGGCAATTCAAATGCAGGTGCAGTTTTCTGTTAATGTCATGCTGTTGTTTAGGTAATAAGAAATATTAAGTAATTGGCTTTAGATTTTGTAATTTTTTCCCTGAGTTCCTGCTAGATTTCATATTCTAGTAGTCAGTGTATTTTCAGTGAAATGTAAAAATATTCCTGTTCTCTTTGACCAGTATTAATTTTTGAGATCTTATTGCTGACACTTGAATCCCGTAATTGTCATACATCTCTGGTGTATGACAACATTTGATTTTTGAAGTGTGTAGACCATCTCTTCATATTTTCAAGATGCAATTTTACATTTCTGCATTTTAAAAACAGTTTGGCCATAATCCTAGATGCACGCTTCTAATTCATGTACCTGCATAGGTGACATTTGTGAACAGAAATTTGCATGTATAATTTGTGTTTACTTGTAACTTTCTGGTTATATACTGCTGATATCTGTGGATTCAAGTTACTGAAGTGAATACCAATAACAAAAAAACCCTTAAAAAAAGAATATAAAAGTAATAGGTACTCATCGTTAAAAAGTAGGGAATTTAGAAAAGCAAAAAGAAGGTAACATAAATTTCCTATACTTTTATATCAAAGGCAGATATAACAACCGTGACAATTTTATGGATATCTTTGAAATCGCATGGAGCATAGCATATCGACAGCTTTACATCCTGATATTTTCATTTGACGTTCAAATAAGGGCATGTTTGATATTATTTTAAAATGCTCAACAATAATTCTTAAGAATATAAAACATTCTAATGTATAAATTCATCACAATTAAACAAGTTTTCAGCATATATTGTTTTCTTTCATTTTACACAATGTTTTCTAGAATAATCATCTTTTGAATGATTTTTTTGGCTGCATTTCTGATTTTTTTCTTCAAATATATTCGTTAAATTCCTTGCTCAAGGTATATGATCATTCGTAAAATAATAATTTTCAAATGACTTTCCAAAAGGATTTTACCAGTTTACACTCTGATCAACAATATATTGGTGCTCACCATGTAAGACGTAGTTTTATTTCTCTCTGTACCACTTATCTACTTCTCAGTTTTGGATAATGGAATTGTGAATTTTTCAGAATCAGTTCATTATTGATTTATCAATATTATTTACATTATATGCTACCTCCTATAGTAATTATTTTTAAAATCTAAAAACCGTTTTAATAATCAAAGATTCCATAAATAGGATCCACAACTAGGTGGCTGCAACTCCCAGTTCTTAATTTTGATTAATTACTAAGTAATATATTTGACTATGTTTTCTTTTTGGTGGAAGGTAACATTTTTGAATGATATCTTTTCTCAAACTTTGAATACATTAGAAAATGTTCATGTGGCTCTCAAGTAAATATTTAACTGAGCGTGGAGTTCCTTTTCCCCAAAGCTTTGCCACACTATTCCATATTTCCTGACACTGGGGTTACAAAGACAAAGTCTGAGTTCAGCTTGAGTTATATGCCTTTGTTGGTGATTTGCTTGTTTTTCTTCCTGAATATTTTCAGAATTTAAAAAATTCCGTATCATTAAGTGTTTAACATTTTAACAAAAAATTAAAGATATATAATGATATTGCTAAATTATGATGCTTTTATACACTGGAATACTGTATACCCTGAAAATTATGATTTTGAAGATTCTAAAATAATATGAGAAATGCTCTTGACTAAATGTCAAATGAAAAAAATCAGGATATAAAATTGTATCTATAATGTCCTAAGAATGTTAAATTAAGTAATCTGGGTAATTGGATAATCTAAGACGTAACCTAAACACAAGTTGGGCATTAGCATTTTTCATTAATTTTCTGATATTTGATGACTCGGTTTTACCTATAAATTTAGTTTGCCTATTAATCTCAGAAAATTTTCTCATAGTCATTTCAGTTTTCTCCCCAAGTTCTAGGTAGAACTTCTAATCTTTATCTTCCATTCTTCTTCCCTTTCAATTTTTGACTTTACAGTCTGCTATGGGTAATTTTTGCACTAGTTCACTAAATTCCCGGGAACTGTGGTTTTGGAATGGACACAGAAAATACGATACCAGTAAGACAGAAGTTGGAATTTTGTAGTAGAGTTTTGAAATGACCCCAAACACAGCAGAAAGTAGGCCCCCTTCATTTACACTGTGGTGGTCTGTATTTTGTGTGAGTCAGTCTGAGTCTCATTATGCATATGTTTGCACATGAGTGATTTTTTGTGATGGGGTGGGGAAGGGAGGAGGTAAATTTTTTGGTTTTTTTTTTTTTTTTTTTTTTTGGTAAATTCTTAATTTTCTCTGCTTTGCTTAGTTCTACTGTTTCCAAGGTCAAAGAATGGTTTGACTACTGAATTTTTGTTTTATGTATATAGTGGAACTATGTGAAGTACAGAAAATTGCTAACTGAAATTTTAATATTTGGTGTTGCATTAGTTGTCATTCACCCATTTCTTCTAAATCCCTCTTAGCATGTCTTAGATTATTTTCATGATTATTTCAATGAAATAATTGTATAAAGGCAAATCAGTCACCATTGTCATCATATCATAATGTAAAGTCTTTTGCTTATTTTTCTAAAATATGTGAAAGGATCCTAGAAGTTTCACAAGTTAAAGTATTACAAAAGTTTAGAAAAACATATGGATAGAGAAGAGAGTTAAAACAGTGAGTGCTTTTTCCAGTTAAATGGGAGCTCTAGTCATTGAATGTGGAATGGGGTGACTTAAGAAGGTTTATTTAGAGGTGTGGGAAGTAGGCAGGAGGCTGGTCCTGTCTGGCAAAACATAGATCTGATAATCTTTATAAATTTATATATGTATAAATTTATATATATGTAAATATATATTTATATATTATGTTCATATATAAATTTATATAAAAATTTATTTATATCTATATGTGTGTATTTATATATTAAATACATATAAATTTATTTATATTTATATATAAATGTATATATATTTATAAACACATATTTATATATTTTTATATATATAAATGTGTGTGCGTGTGTGTGTGTATGAACACACACACACGCACACACATTTTTTTCTTTTGAGACAGAGTTTCACTATTGTTGCCCAGGCTAGAGTGCAATGGTGCGATCTCGGCTCACTGCAACCTCTGCCTCCTGGGTTCAAGCAATTTTGGTGCCTCAGCCTCCTGAGTAGCTGGGATTACAGGTGCTCACTCCAAGCCCAGCTAATTTTTGTATTTTTAGTAGAGACAGGGTTTCACCATGTTGGCCAGGCTGGTCTCAAACTCCTGACCTCAGGTGATCCACCTGCCTCAGCCTCCCAAAGTGCTGGGATTATAGGCATAAGCCACTGCTCCCGGTCAATCAAAGATATTTAAATATTGACAAATTATACTAACAGGCCAGACCAATCAGGAAGTCACGTGGTCAAGCTAAATCCAGACACTTTCCATGTATCCATTTCTTGCCTACCTATCCAGACTTAGTGCCTATATTGCCTATATGAGTTACATTGCAGCCACAGCAACCTCTTTTTGCTCTCCAAAATACCATGATATTTCATTTTCTGCTTGAAGTACCCCTTTTTACTGCCAAATTTGTCTTTGATCTGTTCTTCATCTTTTATATGGTTAGGCTTGGTTTCCTCACCCAAATCTCATCTTGAATTGTAATCTCCATAATCCTCATGATCCCCACGTGTCAAGGGAGAGACAAGGTGGAGGTGATTGGATCATGGGGACAGTTTCCCCCATGCTGTTCTTGTAACAGTGAGTGAGTTCTCATGAAATCTAATGGTTTTCTAAGGGGCTTTTACCCTTCACTGGGCACTCCTCTTTCCTGTTGCCTTGTGAAGAAGGTGCCTTGCTTCCCCTTCACCTTCTGCCATGACTGTAAGTTTCCTGAGGCCTCCCCAGTCATGTTGAACTGTGAGTCAATTAAACCTTTTCCTTTATAAATTACCCAGTCTCGGGTAGTTTATGGCAGTGTGAAAATGGACTAATACAATCTTAAATACCCATCTCCATCATCTTCTCCTGAACTCTTCAAATGAGTTACTTCCATCTTTATTCAAGCTACCACAATACCACCCAACCCATGGCTCTATTATTCCTGCTGTATTTCTATTATCCTGCTGTATTTCTATTATTTTCTCCTATTTATCTTCCCTATTGGAATATGATGAAAGAGACAGTTTTATTTTACTTTCATTTGCATCTAAGAAAAGCGCCTAGTTCCTTAAAGGTAATCAATAAAAAAGTAGGAAATCAATGAACAGATAGCTGAATGAATGATATTAATTAATCTTTCTGAGCCCCAGTTTTCCCATCTGTAAAATGTGAATAATACCAACCATGTATATTTGCTTTGAGAATTAAACAAACCAACATGTAAATTGCCTATATTGTGCCTGACCCATTTGTTTTCCCCCTTCCTTTATTCATAAGAAAAGATGACTCAAATTATAAGATCTTTTTGCCTCTCTTTGACCTAACTACTAAAAACGTGAGTGTAAAGAGTCAAATGATTTCTCTTAGCAGTTGGTGATATTATGGTGACATTTTTGCAACACTGATTTATCAAAGCATTGTGATTGTTAAAAGCCCAAAGAATGTCCTATAGTAGTAATTAGATAAGCTAAAATGAACTAACGGCAATAGGAGAGATGGTATTTCAGTACAGTTGTATTTTAGTTTCATTAAAGTCTATTAGATGCAAGTAATTTTGGAGAACTTGGGTGTCTCAAATACCAGTAAGATATGAAAAAGTGACTTTCATTATTCCTGGTAAAGAACATTCTGTTTTCAAAAAAAAAAAAAAAGAAAAGGACATTGTTTAATGTAGTACATTAAATTTCATTTCCCACCACATAATTATTAAAAGATAAGTAGCTCTTGCATTATTACTAAGAATAAATAATAAGATGGCAATTAAATAACTATCATTAATGACTTGTTCATTAATATGTTAGTAGTTGGCTGTTTTATCATGTGGATAAATTAATGTAAGATAGTAGAAAAGCTGGGCACGGTGGCTTACACCTGCAATCCTAGCACTTTGGGAGGCCGAGGCGGGTGGATCACCTGAGGCCAGGAGTTCGAGACCAGCCTGGCCAACATGGCGAAACCCTGTCTCTACTAAAAATACATAAATTAGCCAGGCATGGTGGCGTGTGCCTATAATCCAAGCTACTCAGGAGGCTGAGTGGGGAGAATCATTTGAACCCGGGAGGCAGAGATTGCAGTGAGCCAAGATCCTGCCACTGCACTCCAGCCTGGGCAACAGAGCGAGACTCCATTTCAAACAAACAAACACAAATGTATAGTAGAAAAATTCAGTAAATAATAAAATAGAGTGCTGCATATTCTGTCTCAGTTCATTCAAATATATCTGATTCTTAAGGAACTCTAAAGAAGAGATTCGCATACTGAGTACAGAAGTAGTTCAAAGCTAATAGGTGCTTATTACAAAGAAAACTCTCTCATGTCGCTGAGTTTAAGTTTGTTTACTCTTAGAAAAACTTGATTTCCTGTGTCTGAGGAAAATAAGCTTATAAAAAAGATGAAAAGGCTGCTATATAGCACTGTAGTAAAAGGATGCTAACAAACTAAGTGTTAATGAATCAAAAACATATGGATTACACTTCACTTCAAATAGAAATAATTTTAGAGTTAAGGGGGAAAGTACTTGGCAAAATGTAATAGGTCTTTGTCAGTCTTAAAACCCAAACATTTAAGGTATCTTCAGGAAGCTCCTAGTGATTCTTTCCTTTTGTTTTTATCTATCATTTTCATTTTATAGAAGAGATCAAACTCTTTATGGCCAAATGACCTTTCAAAAGTTTAACAATATATTGGGTAAGTTATAAACAAACATCCTAGAAGTTCAGAGATAAGAAAAGATCAAGGGGGTAATGTGTATCAATTAACCAAAACCACCATACTAAAACAGAACATTTTCTTCCTCTCCTTGCTTATTGCGATTTAAAAAGTAAAGAAAAAGAGAAACGTCAGTTTTTATACACCTTTTTAAAACCATCCTCTCATATATATATATATACACACACACACATATATATCTTTAAATTGCAGCAATGATTTGTATTTTCAAATTAGTTTAGTGAATATCAATCTCTTCATTGCACAAAACTGAAATCTATATAATGTTAGTAGTTCTAATTGCAGTCCACATTTATGTAAAAACCTTTAAAAGGTAATTGTCTTCATGCTTATGGCGAACTGGGAATTTTGTCAATACAAGAAGAAAATCATGCTGGATACAGTGTTCAGAATATATACTTGTTTAATGTATAGAAACCCCTTTGTTTAAGATCATTTAGGCATGTTTTTAGGCTGTGTTCACTCGGGTATCTAAGATTTGTTCTTTACTGAAAAAAACTGATGTGATTCTTCAATACAAAAAATGTTTCTTTAGTGACTAGTCTACTGACTTCATCAACAAACAGTTCACTGACTTTCCTACCTTGTTGCTTAGGCCTCTTTAAGAATTCTCTTTGGAAATAAAAATGTTTGTTTCTTGTTTGTGAATACTTAAGACAGTGCCTGACCCTTGGTGTCAAAAGCCTTTGAGTCAATTTTGAGGTGGGAGCCTCCACAAGAAAGCCTAGGAGTACAAAATGTCCCTGGAACTGCAGTCAGGGAACCACAAGTGTTCCATTTGGACTGTCTGAGTGCCCTCCTTTTGTTCTCTTGCTGTCTCAGATGTTCCTTGATTCTAACTGAGTTCGAGCCCTGCTTCCCATCTCCTCTAATCAAGGCAACCTGTTTATGCTTGAACTGACAAAAATCAAAGGTTGTTTTGTAATCACCACTCACTCACCTACTACTTTGGATTAAGTCTCACTCCTGGTTTCTATTTCCACATGCTCCCACATTTCATTCCAAATTTCAAATTTGGCCAGGTCCAAGTTGGCTTTTTATTTGTCCTCACCTTCATTCAAATCCCCATCAAGTTTGGAAAGTGCTCAGAACCCTGGGACCATCCCTCTGGAAGGTGAAGCTGGCTGGGCTTCTGGGTTGGGTGGGGACTTCGAGAACTTTTCTGTCTAGCTAAAGGATTGTAAATGCACCAATCAGCGCTCTGTGTCTAGCTAAAGGTTTGTAAACACACCAATCAGCAGTCTGTAAAAACGCACCAATCAGCGCTCTGTATCTAGTTAAATGTTTATAAATGCACCAATCAGCACTCTGCAAAAACGGACCAATCAGCACTCTCTAAAATGGACCAATCAGCGCTCTGTAAAGTGAACCAATTCAGCAGGAGGTGGGTGGGGCCAAATAAGGGAATAAAAGCTGGCCACCCGGGCCGGCAGCAGCAACTAGCTGAGGTCTCCTTCCACCCTGTGGAAGTTTTGTTCTTTTGCTCTTTGCAGTAAATCTTGCTGCTGCTCACTCTTTGGGTGTGCATTACCTTTATGAGCTGTAACACTCACCACGAAGTTCTGCAGCTTCACTCCTGAAGCCGGCAAGACCATGAACCCACCGGGAGGAACAAACAACTCCGGACGCGCCACCTTTAAGAACTGTAACACTCACTGCGAAGGTCTGCAGCTTCACTCCTGAAGTCAGCGAGACCACGAACCCGCCAGAAGGAAGAAATTCCAGACACATCTGAATATCTGAAGGAACAAACTCTGGACATACCATCTTTAAGAACTATAACACTCACCACGAGGGCCCGTGGCTTATTCTTGAAGTCAGCGAGACCAAGAACACACCAAAAGGAACCAATTCTGGACAGACCTCCACTGCAGGTCAAGATGATGAATATTTGATGGCACGTAAAACACTACTCAGATGTGATTGTGGAATTGGATTGAGTTGGATAGACACCTCTAAGGATAATTTAGACATTTCAATGAATAAGCAGCTCTTAATGGCGGAAGGGTGAACTGTGTATTAAACAGAGTACATGAAACAATATACTTCCCAAGAGGTAAAAGTATTAGAGCTTTAAAATAAGCAATTTATAGAGTTCAATGCTCAGGCAAGCCAGATTATTGACTGAATGAGTTACTTCTTTTTTATTAAAATTTTCAATGGCTCCCCATTGCCTGTGATAAATACATGGTCCCCACTATTGGGCAATTTCCAGTTTTTAGTCCACCTCTCCTGCAGATCTTCACCCTCCTGCCCATTGTTCTAGCCAACACAAATTACTTTTAGTTTTCAAACTTGCCTTGGTATTTCCCATCAGTATACCTCTATTCGCTGTTTCCTTTTGCATGGAAAAGTCTAAGTCCATCCCAAATTTCCATCAACATGCCTCCATTTTATCTGCATGGCTACAATGTTGCCCTTCATGACTCTAATCAAAGCTTTTCTCCCCACCCTGACTGTATCCTCCAAGTAGACATAAACTCTCTCTTTAGGAAAACACTGCCATCATACCAACACACCATCTGCAGTTTGCTATGTAGATAACAATGCTTAGTTTTCCCTCTCTATGTAATTCATTACTAAATGTGGGTTGTTTTTCTTATCTTCTTTTGTTAAAAAATTATAAATTGCATATAACCTTCAGAAAATTTCAACAAGAATGAACTAAAGATCTCAAGGAATGTTTGGAGTCTATTTTGGTGCATAAAAATAACAGATCAGTAGCAACACTTATAAAAAGATGAAACAGGGTTAGTTTCATGTGTGTGTAAGTTTTCCTGCACATGTTCACAATAAGAGAGGGGCAGTTTCTTTTTAGAGTACCTTATATACTTCCATCCTACAACCATCTATTAGCAAAAACTATTATAACATACAACAGCAAAAATAATAATCTTCATTAATTGCTTATGGTTGTTCCCGGGTAATACAGACACTTGAGAAATAGACATTTTCTTTTTTATGCTTTCCAATTTTGCTCTTGAATGGATCTCTAAATTTACACTCCATTGTCCCATGATACACAACTTTTCTCCAATCCCCTGTCTCTACCTAATATCCTGCTATTTTTATGAGCTTCAATAGCCTGCTTTAAAGTGGTAGTTTCTTTAAGAAAATAATTACAATGTAAATTAGTCTTCAACAAATAGTAAGGCACATTTTGGAATTAAATGTGTAGGTATTGAAGCTTTCATTCTTGCTATGTTTAAAACCATTATATAAGTTTAACCATAACCATTCAATCTGTGTACCTAGAAATATCATTCTTTCTGTTGCTAATGAAGGTCCTACGGCACAAATTTATTAAAGGTATATGTTTGCATGGGATAATAATTGGGTCGATAATATTAAATTCATAGGCTCATTATTTAATTGCAAGGGCAGATTATGAATACAGCTTCTAAAATGTATTTTAATGAAAAACACTACATCCTGACCTAATCATATCAACCTTATGCTATCTAATTAAAGATGCAAAAAATCATTAGAGTTGCAAAATATTAGTTCCAGCTCCATCAGGCTGTGAGCTGCCCCTTCATGAATATATATTTTTTTACCCCATGATAAATAGTTAATGAGGTAAAAATGACAAAATTTGCATGTAGGCAAATTAGTTTAATAGAATGATGTCTTTTCTGACTACTGAAAGTGACCTTTTCCTTATCAAAAAAATGGCTAAAATACTTTGAAATTATCATGACTGTCTTTGCACAAATGACAGATTATATGTATTAACAATATAAAAATTATAAAACTCAGTAATCCTAAATTCTCATCATACTGTAAATGTGTCCTGTGCTTCTGCATTTATCAACTTAATAAAAGGAAATTAAGCATATTATAAAGTATCCATTTATGAGGCAATTTTTATTCCAGATCATAAAGATGAAAAGCACATGCTTAATAGCTAGCACTATGGCAAACATCTAGATCAAATTTTTAAAGCACAAGAATTCTAGACTACTTATTTGAAATACTTATATATGAAAATGTCTACTCCACTCTTAGCATTTTAGATTATAGATGATTGTTCTCAATTAAACTGGCATTATATCTTGAGATTAGTACATCAATTATTCAACAGGGCTACCTTGCTTCTCTATTAAAATAAACTAAATAAGCAAACATGAGAGAGCTTGAGAAGAATAATACACAAAAATCGTAAGAAAGAAAATGTCTTCATGGTGTAAATACCAAGGGCATGAAGAGACATAATAAACAAATAAAATAAACATGTCTATCCCTGTAAGTTTGGGAATGTTTGTGTATGCTTAAGACACATAACCACAACAACAAGAAATAACAGGTGCTCTACAGATTTTCAAATTATTTGCATAAACATTTCTATAATTCCTACCACTCATGGTTACTGAGTCTGTACATGTAGAGGCAACAGCTGCCATTTGTCTAGAAATTTGAATTTCTACTAATGGTTCAAATGAATCAAAGCCAAAATATCTTACTTAAGACCCAAATGACTTTGATTAAATTGTTTACTTCAATTCCATTTCATTAAATTGTCTTTTCTTTGATTTACTTGAATGTTTACACACAGTGTTATGGACATTCTAGGTTTGAAGTCTGAGTTCTAGTCGTGTCCATCATGGGGCAGCTAAGTCATTTCACTAAGAAGAGCATAAATACTACATTTAAAGAATTAAATAATTTCACAGCCCCCTTCAATTTTTCTTCTAGCACCTAGATTTTAATTATCTCTCATGTGTATGCACTCTCTCTCATCCCTTGTTAAAACAGACATAATAGTCAAGTAATTCTGTTTTCCTCTGTTTTATCTATTTAGGTACTGTTGTTCAACTCAAATTATTTGGTACTCAACTTTGGATTGTTCCCAAATTCTTGAACTTCCATGTTGTGACGCTTAATAATGAAACTACGTGCACTCTACCTATGCTAAGCAGTGTAAAGTTATCCTAAAGAGGAAGTGCTCTTTGCTTAATTTTTAGGATAATTTCAACAATTTTGGTATTTTACAAATTATGCTGTTAGTCAAAGATTTCTGAAGAAGAAGTAACCATAACAAATATATAGTAACATGAAATTTGTTTTGCTTCAAGTTAGGGTTTTGAAAATGTCTGCTATAATATTATATGAATTCTCAAATAAACAGAATTCAAGACATAATGATTACATGGAGTGAGCCCATGCAATTTTTTTAAAGCTAATGTTTACGTTCCTATCAAGTAGGAAATGAGGTAAGTTATAAGTTCATTCTGTGGGCTAACTAAATATATTCAACTATTCAACTATTCATTCCTGCATGCATTCCTTTATGTATTGAACAAATAGCCAGTAAACAAGTGCTATGTTCTAGAGATCAAGATTAAGGGCATAAAGATTGAGGACAGAGATTGAGGTCATAAAGATGAAGAAACCGCTCTTTTATTCCTCAAGGATATCTCAAGTCTACAAAGAAAGAGGGACACACGAACAGGTAGTTCTCAAATTGTGTGTTGGATGCTGTCAGGTAAGACAGGCAGGTTTGACAAAAAGAAAATGCCAAAATATTTCACTTAAGACCCAAATGATTTTGATTAAAATCTTTCTCTGGGTTGACTCCACAGAGAAAATACTCAAGCTGAGCCCTGAAAGAATGATTAGTTTACCAAATACTACATGAGAAATTGGGAGGATATTGCTCCAAACAGAGAGCAATGCATGGACACGAGAAACAGTATGGCATGTGTAGTGAACTGCTCATATTTTTATATAGCTTAATCATATTGTGGCAAGAAGCATGCTGGCTGGGAAGTGGTCGGATGGATGAGGATACAGGACATGAGGCTGAAGAGGTAAGAAAGAATCAGGTCAAATGGCAGTTATACCATAGTAAGGATTTGTATCATGGTGGCCAAAACAACAGTAAATAACTTCAAGAACAACACCAAGAAACATCAACTTGCTGATATACCAGCAGAGTGAGGGTTTTTTGAGCAGTCCAAAAAACAAAGCTCCTTCAGACCAACTCACCTTTCTTCTTTCACCATTGATTCCTCTCCACTGCTCAGATCATTTCACTATATAACTTAGCTCCTGATTGGAAATCTCCAAGTCATACGGTATGAAGAACTTGGTTTCTTCACTGTGGATGCGCTGAAAAGCATCTAATATCCAAGAGTCATTGTGCAACCTAAGAATAAAGTCATCTGTTACCTGTTTTTTATTTTCCCCAAGTCTTGTTTAGTTTTTTCTCCCAGTGTTAAGTAATTCATATTTCTTTTATCTTCTATTTTAGTTCACATTCCTCATTCTTTTTTCAGAAACTATTTGATGATTAAGCTTTCAGAAATTATGCAATAATTTCCTCAACAAAATCCCATAATCTAACAACTGCAATCCGGAGGTTTTTGCAGTTATTTCCTATAAGCCTACTGCTTATTTTAAATTTTTTAAAATTTTAAAATTTTTATTTTTTGTGGGTGCATAGTAGGAAGATTCAGAAGCAACCTACTTGTCCATCAACAGATGAATGAATAAAGAAAATATGGTACATAGATACAGTGGAGTACTATTCAGCCATAAAAAATAATGAGAGCCAGTCATTTGCAACAACATGGATGGAACTGGAGATCATTATATTAAGTGAAATGAGTCAGACACAGAAAGACAATCACATGTTCTTACTTAATCGTGGGATCTAAAAATCAAAACAGTTGAACTCATGCTTCTTATTTTTGATGTCTAAGAAAAAAATGTAAAAATATTTAGCTGTTAACTTGGATTATAAATATCCAAACTAGTTCAAATGTGAGGAATGTATCCAAAGAAAATTTAAATTTGGGTTCATTCCTGAGTGGTAGAAACCCCACTAGGGCAGGTCAGATAGCACAGGGGTTTCTCTTAGTTGGTTTTCTTCCAACCTGAATGGTAAACAGATTAATTTGCTGAAGCATCTAACTTGATAAAATGTTCATTTGATTTTTTACCATTTATCAAAACAACTCCAATATTGATTTTGAAAAATCAGTTTTTCTTGTGATACTAATAAAGTGACAGCCTCTTGCCCCCCAAATTTATATTTTAATAAGAAATATTAATTATTTGATATTGTTAAGTAACATTTAGATGAGTAGTAGAAATATTTGTTAAGTCAATGCTTATAAAACTTTTCGGTTGAATACCCCTAAAGGTAGAGAAGAGAAAATGTGTATACTTTCCCTAATCTACCAGTGCTTAATACAATATGTTTTCTTTTTCAAAACTTTGAGTGAAATTGAAACTTGAGGAAAAGTAATCTTTATCTTGTGACTTAGTGTACGTTTGTCTCACCATGCATAGCAGGAAGTAGTTTCAGAAACACAAAATTGTGCCACTAACAGTTAATAGGCCAGACCAAAATGTTTTATGTCTCAGTGTCAATAAACGACCCTTCTGAGAAGTAAGTTTTTAGAAAATGGCCTGAGATATAAATTGGACTATCAAGATATTTAGGCTTCACATAATTATGTGTCTTCCTACACATTCAAAGTGGAGAATTATTTTTAGTTCAATAATTACATTTTGCTTTAACTAGTCTAGATAATGCTAGAATTTATTGATTTTCCATTATAATGGCAGTCAATTTCACATTCATTGTATTATTCTAGCCTTATTTTAATCTTGCTTTTTACATATTAATACACTGATATCAAAAAAAAGTTTGCCTCACTGTTTATAAGTAACAGAGACAGAATTTAAGCTCAGAGATAACTCCAAAGTTTATTTCGTTCCTTTTTTCTTTCTTTCTTCTTCTTTTTTTGTTTTTGAAATGCTGTCTTGCTGTGTTGCACAGCCTGGAGTGCAATGGTGCGATCTCAGCTCACTGCAACCTCTGCCTCCTGGGTTCAAGCGATTCTCCTGCATCAGCTTCCTGAGTAGCTGGGATTACAGGCCCACACCACCATGCCCAGCTAATTTTTGTATTTTTTGTAGAGACAGGGTTTCACCATGTTGGCCAGGCTGGTCTTGAACTCCTGACCTTGTGATCCGCCCACTTCGGCCTCCCATAGTGCTAGGATTACAGGCGTGAGCCACTACACCCAGCCCAAAGTTTATTTTGTTCTATCATGTTGACTCAGTTAAAATAACTGATATAACATGTATCTTCATTTAACTACCTGTCTCAACTCTTACCGAAATAGTGTAATAAACATTTTGACCCTAGCTGCTAAATAATGTCTCTGTGTTTTTTTCCAGCTATTCCACATTTATCACACAGTGAAAACAAAAGCAAAACTGCCACTCAGCCTAACTGATGGTCCAAGACAGGCCATATGGCTTGGTGCCATCTTGAAATGCAACTACTGCTTTTATTGCACTTTGAGATTCTAGGTTGGCTGTTTGAATGATTTACTAGTTGCCTTGTTAAACAAGAACTAGTCTTTACCATTCTCCTAAGTTTGTTTAAAGTAACATTCATCTTTTTGTTTTAATGGTGGTAAGATTTAATGTAGTTGAATTACTGTCAATTTGCCTCCATAAACATTTTCTATATGAAGACTTTAAGTGCAAGATTATCAACAATGCAATTAACTTTGAATTAATTAGGAATCACAGTCCTGTTTCTGCTGGCTTCTGTTCCTTTTGCCCAGAAAATATCTGCCTCCTCTTTATTTCTCCTTCATTCTGTGTGAAAGAATAATTATGTAAATATCCAAACCCGGATCTACAGGATGGTAAACAAATGTTTTGACAGAGAACAAAATAGCACGTTGGAATAGGGAAAGCTATACAAAGATTAATTGCATTTTAGTTTTATTATTATTATTATTATTATGCCATTTTGGGTGGCATTTTGCAGCAAAAAGCTCCATGACGAGTTGTTAATAGGTTAAATTACCAACTTTTATAAATTTTTAGCATATTTTTCAGCTCTATAAAGCAAGCTCATACAAAGAAAAAATAATCTATGGTTGTATATGCAAAATTTAAAAAATAAATAAATTGAACATAATTCTCAACATAATTGAGAATTATGTAATTCTTCTAATAACATATAACTTGATAATTATACTTTTTATAATTCTTTTATATTAAGCAATATAACATTTATCCAAAGGTGAACTATTTTATTCTTCCACATCAAAAGATATTTTATCCCTTTATATATCTGTGGAAATTTCACTTTTCTGGTGTTCTTTAGAAAGTTAAGGAGCCCATCTATATGTTAGAAGAATTTCTGTAATGATAAACAATGTAAAAACAGTCTCGATTTCTTAAATAAATTGGGTGTTGGTTACCATTGATAAAAGAGCAATAGACTATTGTCTTTGTATATGCAACATTCAATAAAATATTAAGTTTGAACTTTTCATGATCATATTTAGTTATAAAGTTTGCTATCCTCAAATGCATCAGCAATAATACACAGAAATGCACACACACATTTTCACCCATTTTCTGCCATCTTGTGTGTGTGTGTGTGTGTGTGTGTGTGTGTGAATATCAAATTGAATTATATAAAAATAAAGATATGGCCAGGTGTGGTGGCTCACACTTGTAATCCCAACACTTTGGGAGGCTGAGGTGGGCAGATCACGAGGTCAGGAGTTCAAGACCAGCCTGGCCAACATAGTGAAACCCCGTCTCTACTAAAAATACAAAAAATTAGCCGGGTGTGGTGGCAGGCGCTTGTAATCCCAGCTACTCGGGAGGCTAAGGCAGGAGAATCACTTGAACCTCGGAGGCAGAGGTTGCAGTGAAATGAGATCACGCCATTGCACTCTAGCCTGGGTGACAGTGCGAGACTCCATCTCAAACAAACAAACAAACAAAAAAAGTAAAGACATTGGATTATATTAGATGACAGAGGAGAAAAATTAAACCAACCATGGAAAATTTTTAACAATTAATGTCTCTAGGAGAAGGATATCAGTTCATTGTATGCTTATAATTTTTATAGGTTTGGGTTGTTTTTAAATAAAAAGCTAAAATTTTATAGTATTCTATTGCAATATACGTCATTATATGGTGATGGTTGCAAATTTGGATTTCTTTCAAAAATACAGCTATTCAATATATCTGAAAATTTTATATTTCTAAATTATTTCTTCTAAAGATAATTAAAAGAGAAACTATATTCCGCCTGTTCATAACGCCTTAGGCATTGTTGTTTACAGCAATAGGTGACATATTATGCTACAGGTTCTGATGATGGCCAATGAAACAAAGTAATTTACAAAGTCCTTTGCCCTGTGTCCTATATTTGCAGCAATTCATTGCTTTGTGAGTGGCAGAAGCTATTATGTTTTGTTCACATCTCAATGTGGGTCATTTACAGAAACCTAGTGTGTGACATTTCTTGTAAAGCTAAAAAGGACAAGTGTGAATATTTAGCTAACATAGTATTTTAAGGGTCATAAAAAGGAATCTATAACTTTAGCTCTGAATGCAAATATACATATGAAGAAGAAGCATCAAATATAATTGGTTATTTCTAACTCTAATAGCTACAAGTCAGATTGGCAGTGGGATTTTACACATAGAGTAGTCAATGTGCTTATGATGCAAGTTGGAAAACTACTTACCTCTGGGCATATTTGCATTAGAATGATGCAGGTACAGCTCTAAACAGACAGGATATAAACAGCCAAACTTTTGGCACAACCAGCATATGCTCATCAAAATTCATTTTCACTGTCTTTACATGTTAAAACCCACATATTCGTTAGCAAAATTGTTGAACACTTAAAAGAGGTGTCTGATAGCAAAGTATTGAGACATATGGAGACAGTTTTGGTTTGTTTTCTAGAAACTCTTAGGTGCTCACCATTCTGTTTAATAGTCATTGAAATTCAGACAGCTTTGGTTTGAAGTCATACTAAATAAAGAAAAATGAAAATATAAGGGAGGAACAAAGAAGAGAAAGAGAATAAAAAGGGAAACAGAACTTTAGAAAAAGGAAAAAGAAATTCACAAAATAATAAAGTGGACACAGCTGGAAGGAGTCAAGAATGCCCCTAGCCCCTGACCATTTCTAGAGGCAGTCCTAGTGTAGGTTTCTAGTGATGAAGTCAATGTTTTTCTATATGTGTAGTCTCACATTTGTAAGGGGACAATCATATTCTTCTTCATTCATTCCTCTTTAATTTATTCAGTTGGTTAACAAATACGTATGGAACCAGATGAACACATTAAAGAGTGAGGGAATTTCCAGCATCTGGACATGGTTGATATGGAGGGTGAAGGAGAGGGAGGATGTAAAAATGTAATCACTGGATGGATTTTTTTTCTGCCCACTGCACAGAAAAAAATCAATTCACTGAGATCACAACATTGCAGTAGAGAAAGAGTTTAATTGATGTGAGGCTGGCCACACAGGAGATGGACTTCTTAATCAAATCAGTCTCTCAAAAGGCTTAGAGACTAGGGATTTTATAGACACTTTCTTTCGTGGTCAGGGGGCTAGGGAATGGGTGTTGCTGACTAGTTGGGGGTGAAATAATAGGGTGTGGAAAATGGTCCCCATTCAGTGAGTCTACCTCTGGGTGAGGCCATGGGACAAGTTGAGTGATGAGTCACAGTTCCAGGTGGGGTCAGTCTGAAGAATACCTCAAAAAACCAACCCTTTATGTTTTACAATAGTGATGTTTTCCACAGGAGCAATTGGGGAAGTCACAAATCTTGTGATCTCTGGCCACTTGACTACTGAACAGCAAGAGACTGTGGAAACTATGCCTATGTTTTAGCAGAAGTGAGGCCCATCCAATATTCCTAATCTTATGGCCTTTCACTAGTCTTACAAAGGGAGTTTCAGCCCCCAAACAGGGAGGGGATACATTTTAAAGAGAGACTGTTACTAGTATTATCATTGCTTCAAAGTTAAACTATAAATTAAAGTCCTCCCAAAATTAGCTTGACCTATGCCCAGGAATTACCAAGGACAACCTGGAGGTCAGAAGCAAGATGGAGTCAACCACGTCAGACTTAGCTTACTGTCAAAACTTCACAAAGGCAGTTTCAAAAATAGCTCCCCAAAATAGCTTCTCTCCTCTCCCGTCCCCTCCCCTTTCCTTCCCTCCACTTCCCTTCCCTTCCTCCTTCAGAACTAGATGAGTGATTTTGGCATTTACCAAGGTAGGAAACCTGAATGAAGAGTGATTTGGAGGAGAAAACAACGAATTTATTTTCAAAATGTCAATAGTGAAGTCCTCGTGCCACATATATGGGGAGTTGTGAACATTAATTGAAAGTTCTATATTTTTAGACTAAATTCATGTTTACCTTGAAAGAACCAAATATCATAACTAAAAAAGAATGGCCTAAGTTACAGTTTAGTTAGAAATACACTAAATACATTAACTTATTCCTGAAGAACAGATCTCATTAGCTACTTTCATACTGCCAATAGAAATGAGTAATAATAGTTAATATTTATTGAGTAAATACTTGTAATATATATTTTATATACATTAAGTCTATTCCTCAAAGTTCTAATTTGATTTTATTATTCACATTATCAAGAAATAGAGTCAAAGAGGTAAAACTATTATCTAAACATACACAGCTAGTAAGTAACAGAGCCATGATTTAAGCCAGGCCTGCCTGCCTTCAAGCCAGGAATGAACCACTACATTACACTCATTCATTAGAGGAAAATTAACCACTAATGTATTTTTTTTAACCATCGCATGGTTAAAAATTAGAGGAAAATTAACTACACATGTGATTTTTTAACCATCATATTTATTTTTAAGTGTACGGTTTAGTAGTACTAAGTATATTCATATTATTATGCAACAGATCTCTAGAACTATTTAATCTTGCAACACTGAAACTTTACAGCCATTAAATACCAGTTCACCTTCTTCCCTTTCCCCAGTCCTTGATAACCACCTTTCTACTTTTGGTTGCTATGATTTTGGCTACTTTAAATACTTCATATGAGGGGAATCAAAGAGCATTTCTCTAGCTTATTTTATTTAGCATAATGACCTTAAGATTAATCCATGTTGTAGGACATGACAGAATTTTTTTCCTTTTTTAAGACCACGTAGTATTCCATTGCATGTGTATACCACATTTTCTTTATCCATCATCTGTCAATGGACATTTGGATTTCTTTCACCTCTTGGCTATTGTGAATAATACTACAATGAAAATTGATATTTAAATATGTCATAGAGATTCTGTTTTTAATTATTTCAGATATATACCTAGAAGTGCAGTTACTGGGTCATATGGTGATTGTATTTTAAATTTTTTGAGGAATCTTCATGCTGCTTTCCATAAGAGTTGCACTATTTTTCATTCTTACCAAAAGTGCACAAGGGTTCCAAATTCTCTCCATCTTCTCCAACATTTGTTATTTTCTGTTCTTTTGAGAGTGGTAATCCTCTTGGGTGTGAAGTCATATCTCATTGTGGTTTTGATCTGCGTTTATTAATGATGCTGAGCATCTTTTCCTGCACTTATTGGCCATTTTTATATCTTCTTTAGAGAAATGTCTATTGGGGGAACCCACCCCCAATAATTTAACGTGAGTCCTTTTCTATTTTCCCTAAGTGTTGGCCAGTCTGAGAAATAAAGGAAAAGAGTACAAAAGAGAGAAATTTTAAAGCTGGGTGTCTGGGGGAGACATCACATGTCGGCAGGTTCCGTGATGCCCCCTGAGCCATAAAACCAGCAAGTTTTTATTAGTGATTTTCAAAAGGGGAGGGAGTGCACAAATAGGGTGTGGGTCACAGAGATCACATGCTTCAAGGGTGACAAAAGATCACAAGGCAGAAGGTCAGGGCAAAACTAGAATCACTAATGAACTTCCATTTCCTGCTGTGCATGCACTGTCAGGGTTCAAGAGCAGAGAACGGGTCTGACTAGAATTCGCCAGGCTGGAATTTCCTAATCCTAGCAAGCCTGGGGCCACTGCATGACACTAGGGTGTGTTTCATCCCTATCTACATCTGCATAAGGCAGGCACTCCTAGGGCGGCCATTTTAAAGGCCCTGCCCTGGGAATGCATTCCTTTCCCAGGGCTGTTAATTACTAATATTCCTTACTGGGGAAAGAATTCAGCCATATTTCTCTTACCTGTTTTCGGTAATAAGAGAAATATGGCTCTGTCCCGCCCGGCACACAGGCAGCCAGACTTTAAGGTTATCTCCCTTGTTCCCTGAAAATCGCTGTTATCTTGTTCTTTTTTCAAGGTGCCCAGATTTCATATTGTTTAAACAGTTTGTGCAGTTAACGCAATCATCACAGGGTCCTGAGGTGACATACATCCTCAGCTTACAAAGATGACGGGATTAAGAGATTAAAGGCAGGCATAGGAAATCACAAGAGTATTGATTGGAGAAGTGATAAATGTCCATGAAATCTTCACAATTTATGTTCAGAGACTGCAGTAAAGACAGGCGTTAAGAAATTATAAAAGTATTAATTTGGGGAACTAATAAATGTCCATAAAATCTTCACAATTTATGTTCTTCTGCCATGGCTTCAGCCAGTCCCTCTGTTCGGGGTCCCTGACTTCCCACAACAAATGTCTCTTCAAGTTGTTTGCCAATTTTTTAAATAGGGTTATTTGGTTTTTTTCACTGTTGAGTTGTAGAATTTCCTTATATATTCTAGACATTAACCCTTTACCTGGTATATGACTTCCAATTATTTTCTCCCATCCCATAGGTTGCCTTTGAATCCTATCGAATGTTTCTTTGATGGGTAGAAGTTTTTAAGTTGGATGTCACTGCATTTGTGTATTTTGGATTTTATTACCTGTGCTTTTGGTGTTATATCCAAGAAATCATTACCAAGACCAATGTCATCAGGTGTGAAAGCCCTCTGTGTAATCTCCATATGCCAATTCCTATGATATAGCATGAAATAGGAAATGTTTTGAACATATACTTAGAGATTCTGAGATTTTTGTGACAGCTATTGGTTATAATTAGGATGTTATTATTTAGTGGGTCAGATCTACCAGTCCATATTGTCTGACATTCCTTTGAAGGCACGGATTCATTAGATTATATAGGTGCATCTGTTATAGGATCTGTACTAGGGAAATCCAAACTGTAAAGCCTAAGATTAACTATTAATAGAAGAACTACAGCAGTACTTTCTCAAATCCAACTCGTCTGTGAGGTCTTAGCTACCGGGAAAACACAGTGCTGGGAAGAGGTCTAGTGTCACAATCAATGTCAATGGTGAAGAAGACCACTGCTTATGCACTAGAATTGGCCTAAGGAGGAAGGACCTTCTGTCATTGTCCCTTTGCAGAATGACAGCCCCTTTGTAAGTGTGACCAAGATCACTAAGAACTCGTCTGCAGTTTTGAGGATCTGAACATGCCTTATATTAACCTACTTAACAGATCAATAAAGAAAAAAGACTACTTGGGGAGGAAAGCAGAAGATGGAGGCTGGAAGCCACGGAATAGAGATTTGGAAATACCAAAGTTAGAACAGAGAATTGTCAAGACAGAATTTAGAGATCATTCTGCATCTATACCATGGTTATTACCACCCTGGGTTCTCTGAATTTTTTATTTACATTGACGAAATGTTTTGCATTTCTCCTGCTATGCATAATTCTGACAATTTTTAACTCCTCCTTCCACATTGCATTGTACTTTTTAAAGTTGACTGTTACCAAAAAAGTCAAACTAAAAACCTATTCTGGTCATTTTGACATGTCAAACTAACACACGCGAGAGCTGTGTGTGTACCTTTCCACACTTCATTATATTCCAGCTGACAGTTCAAAATGAAAAACACTTGGGGACAAGTGTCATCTGAACATGCAGCCTGTGAGTTACACTTTATTTGAAAGGGAAAGTGTGTCTTCGCCACATAAAAAATGTATTCATTTATTTATTCATGCTTTTAATTCAACAAATTTTTGTTGTGTTCCATTGTATTCCAGGTACTTTTCTTGGTATAGACAAGAGAAGGGTGAATTATAGAGTCCACAATCTTGCCTTCAGTTGCCAGTTCAAGAATGCCCTATCATTTTCTCACAATATTTGTTTCATTCTGGTCTGACTACTTATGCAACATTAAAATACAAGGTGAAGAGAATTCAACACACCATTTTTATGCACAGGTAATCCTCCTTGGTTTGTGGCAGCAAACTAAAATAGCTTTTTTTTGGTTGTTTGTTCAACTGTTTGAGTAATAAGGAGGGCAAAATTTTTTTCAGGAAGAGTTTTAGAAACTATACATATTGCTGACAGAGAAAAGTGGGGAGTAGCACTGGTCAATGCAGATTAACCATGCTATCAGATGCAAGTACTTACATGAAAGTGGACAAGAAAACTTCTCATCCCAGTGACCGAAAATAAGCTCAAACCAGGAATCTAGACTGTGCCAGCCAGGTAGTCTGCACCTTGTCACTTCATTCGGGTACATATAAGCTTCTTGACACCTGTTTGTAATTGGTCAAAACTCACATGCCCTGTTTCCCATATGCTCGGGAAGAAAGTAGAAGTTGTAATAGATTATTTTATATTATCTTTACCCTAGAGGTTCTGAAAACAGGCAAATTTACCAAAAGTCAATTCAACAAATGATTAATTAACTACTGAGTCTAAACTGACCAGTTTAAGAGATTTTGTCACGACCAGGCCTGCCCTAAAAGAGCTCCTGAAGGAAGCACTAAATATGGAAAGGAACAACTGGTACCAGCCGCTGCAAAATCATGCCAAAATGTAAAGACAATCAAGACTAGGAAGAAACTGCATCAACTAACGAGCAAAATCACCAGCTAACATCATAATGACAGGATCAAATTCACACATAACAATATTAACTTTAAATGTCAATGGACTAAATGCTCCAATTAAAAGACACAGACTGGCAAATTGGATAAAGAGTCAAGACCCATCAGTGTGCTGTATTCAGGAAACCCATCTCACCTGCAGAGACACACATAGGCTCAAAATAAAAGGATGGAGGAAGATCTACCAAGCAAATGGAAAACAAAAAAAGGCAGGGGTTGCAATCCTAGTCTCTGATAAAACAGACTTTAAACCAACAAAGATCAAAAGAGACAAAGAAGGCCATTACATAATGGTAAAGGGATCAATTCAACAAGAAGAGCTAACTATCCTAAATGTATATGCACCCAATACAGGAGCACCCAGATTCATAAAGCAAGTCCTTAGTGACCTACAAAGAGACTTAGACTCCCACACAATAATAATGGGAGACTTTAACACCCCACTGTCAACATTAGACAGATCAACAAGACAGAAAGTTAACAAGGCTACCCGGGAATTGAACTCAGCTCTGCACCAAGCAGACCTAATAGACATCTACAGAACTCTCCACCCCAAATCAACAGAACATACATTTTTTTCAGCACCACAACACACCTATTCCAAAATTGGCCACATAGTTGGAAGTAAAGCTCTCCTCAGCAAATGTAAAAGAACAGAAATTATAACAAACTGTCTCTCAGACCACAGTGCAATCAAACTGAACTCAGGATTAAGAAACTCACTCAAAACCGCTCAACTACATGGAAACTGAACAACCTGCTCCTGAATGACTACTGGGGTACATAATGAAATGAAGGCAGAAATAAAGATGTTCTTTGAAACCAATGAGAACAAAGACACAACATACTACAATCTCTGGGACACATTCAAAGCAGTGTGTAGAGGGAAATTTATAGCACTAAATGCCCACAAGAGAAAGCAGGAAAGATCCAAAATTGACACTCTAATATCACAATTAAAAGAACTAGAAAAGCAAGAGCAAACACATTTAAAAGCTAGCAGAAGGCAAGAAATAACTAAAATCAGAGCAGAACTGAAGGAAATAGAGACACAAAAAACCCTTCAAAAAATCAATGAATCCAGGAGCTGGTTTTTTGAAAGGATCAACAAAATTGATAGACTGCTAGCAAGACTAATAAAGAAGAAAAGAGAGAAGAATCAAATAGATGCAATAAAAAATGATAAAGGGGATATCACCACCGATCCCACAGAAATACAAACTACCATCAGAGAATACTACAAACACCTCTACGCAAATAAACTAGAAAATCTAGAAGAAATGGATAAATTCCTCGACACATACACCCTCCCAGGACTAAACCAGGAAGAAGTTGAATCTCTGAATAGACCAATAACAGGCTCTGAAATTGTGGCAATAATCAATAGCTTACCAACCAAAAAGAGTCCAGGACCAGATGGATTCACAGCCGAATTCTACCAGAGGTACAAGGAGGAACTGGTACCATTCCTTCTGAAACTATTCCAGTCAATAGAAAAAGAGGGAATCCTCCCTAACTCATTTTATGAGGCCAGCATCATCCTGATACCAAAGCCGGGCAGAGACACAACCACGAAAGAGAATTTTAGACCAATATTCTTGATGAACATTGATGCAAAAATCCTCAATAAAATACTGGCAAACCGAATCCAGCAGCACATCAAAAAGCTTATCCACCATGATCAAGTGGGCTTCATCCCTGGGATGCAAGGCTGGTTCAATATATGCAAATCAATAAATGTAATTCAGCATATAAACAGAACCAAAGACAAAAACCACATGATTATCTCAATAGATGCAGAAAAGGCCTTTGACAAAATTCAACAACGCTTCATGCTAAAAACTTTCAATAAATTAGGTATTGATGGGACATATCTCAAAATAATAAGATCTATCTATGACAAACCCACAGCCAATATCATACTGAATGGGCAAAAACTGGAAGCATTCCCTTTGAAAACTGGCACAACACAGGGATGCCCTCTCTCACCACTCCTATTCAACATAGTGTTGGAAGTTCTGGCCAGGGCAATCAGGCAGGAGAAGGAAATAAAGGGTATTCAATTAGGAAAAGAGGAAGTCAAATTGTCCCTGTTTGCAGATGACATGATTGTATATCTAGAAAACCCCATTGTCTCAGCCCAAAATCTCCTTAAGCTGATAAGCAACTTCAGCAAAGTCTCAGGATACAAAATCAATGTACAAAAATCACAAGTATTCTTATACACCAATAACAGACAAACAGAGAGCCAAATAATGAGTGAACTCTCATTCACAATGGCTTCAAAGAGAATAAAATACCTAGGAATCCAACTTACAAGGGACATGAAGGACCTCTTCAAGGAGAACTACAAACCACTGCTCAATGAAATAAAAGAGGATACAAAGAAATGGAAGAACATTCCATGCTCATGGGTAGGAAGAATCAATATCATGAAAATGGCCATACTGCCCAAGGTCATTTATAGATTCAATGCCATCCCCATCAAGCTACCAATGACTTTCTTCACAGAATTGGAAAAAACTACTTTAAAGTTCATATGGAACCAAAAAAGAGCCCGCATCGCCAAGTCAATCCTAAGCCAAAAGAACAAAGCTGGAGGCATCACGCTACCTGACTTCAAACTATACTACAAGGCTACAGTAACCAAAACAGCATGGTACTGGTACCAAAACAGAGATATAGATCAATGGAACAGAACAGAGCCCTCAGAAATAACGCCACATATCTACAACTATCTGATCTTTGACAAACCTGACAAAAACAAGAAATGGGGAAAGGATTCCCTATTTAATAAATGGTGCTGGGAAAACTGGCTAGCCATATGTAGAAAGCTGAAACTGGATCCCTTCCTTGCACCTTATACAAAAATTAATTCAAGATGGATTAAAGACTTAAATCTTAGACCTAAAACCATAAAAACCCTAGAAGAAAACCTAGGCATTACCATTCAGGACATAGGCATGGGCAAGGACTTCATGTCTAAAACACCAGAAGCAATGGCAACAAAAGCCAAAATTGACAAATGGGATCTCATTAAGCTAAAGAGCTTCTGCACAGCAAAAGAAACTACCATCAGAGTGAACAGGCAACCTACAGAATGGGAGAAAATTTTCGCAACCTACTCATCTGACAAAGGGGTAATATCCAGAACCTACAATGAACTCAAACAAATTTACAAGAAAAAAACAAACAACCCCATCAAAAAGTGGGCGAAGGATATGAACAGACACTTCTCAAAAGAAGACATTTATGCAGCCAAAAGACACATGAAAAAATGCTCATCATCACTGGCCATCAGAGAAATGCAAATCAAAACCACAGTGAGATACCATCGCACACCAGTTAGAATGGCAATCATTAAAAAGTCAGGAAACAACAGGTGCTGGAGAGGATGTGGAGAAATAGGAACACTTTTACACTGTTGGTGGGACCATAAACTAGTTCAACCATTGTGGAAGTCAGTGTGGCGATTCCTCAGGGATCTAGAACTAGAAATACCATTTGACCCAGCCATCCCATTACTGGGTATATACCCAAAGGACTATAAATCATGCTGCTATAAAGACACATGTACACGTATGTTTATTGTGGCACTATTCACAATAGCAAAGACTTGGAACCAAGCCAAATGTCCAACAGTGATAGACTGGATTAAGAAAATGTGGCACATATACACCGTGGAATACTATGCAGCCATAAAAAATGATGAGTTCATGTCCTTTGTAGGGACAAGGATGAAATTGGAAATCATCATTCTCAGTAAACTACCGCAAGGACAAAAAACCAAACACTGCATGTTCTCACTCATAGGTGGGAATTGAACAATGAGAACACATGGACAGAGGAAGGGGAACATCACACTCTGGGGACTGTTGTGGGGTGGGGGGAGGGGGGAGGGATAGTATTAGGAGATATACCTAATGCTAAATGACGAGTTAATGGGTGCAGCGCACCAGCATGGCACATGTATACATATGTAACTAACCTGCACATTGTGCATATGTACCCTAAAACTTAAAGTATAATAATAATAAAAAAAAAACCTAAAAAAAAAAAAGAAGAAACATCATGCCAAGGAATGTTCACTTTATCTCTGACCTAGCTTCTTGCAGCTATGGATGGGAAGAGTTGGGGTAGAAACAGAGCACTCTATCTGCTGAAACAAAGATGGAAGGGGAGTCAGATACAACGTGGTCTCAGCTGCCCACAGAAGAGCGCTTAAGGTCTAAGGTGCAGAGGGAGAAACATTGAAGGGCTTTTAGCAAACGAGCATTCCGTGAATGTATCTGGACCTGTAGCATTGAGCCATTGAGTTACAATCATTCAGTTTACTGGAGCTGACACAATGTAGTATCTAAATCTTTTAAATACATCTATTCCTATACAAGTGTGTCATAATGTACATAGTTCATTTCTGCCTATCAGGGCATAGAGTGCCCATGAACTAATTAGGTGACAATTTCAGAGAATAAAAATTGCTTAGCTATATATTAATTACATACATTTTAGAATATTTTTCTTTACCTGGTAAATAATATTTAGCCTTTACCAAGGAACATTGTAAAGAAGATTGTGGAAATTTCTACAGTCAAATGATTTAGAAAGTAGAAAATCTTTGATTATCTCATACATAGTCCCTAGACAATGAATATACTCATAGTATTCTCATCAAAACCTGTCTTTAAATTATTTTAATCTAAATTAATTTTCCTAAGTAATAAATGACAGCAGCTAAAACTTATAAGGCTATTTGGAACTATTAAGTCAATGATTAAGAAGACATAAAGACCCTCAAAAACTAATTAACTTGACTATCAGTCTTTTAGATTTGTGTACTGCTTCCAGGATTATAACAAGCTTAAATAAATCTAACTAACACTTAAATTGTGATTTCTTGTTCTCTGCATATTTTAAAGAAAAATGTAAAGAGCCTGGAGATCTTTTGTACTATTTAGATAAAGGGTTTAGAATTTAAGAATCTATCTGATATCAATGGAAGCTTTATCTGAGGAATGCTACAAGACCAAACACTTAGAGAGTCATGGATGGGACTCACAGCTTTTCCCTAATGCCAATGTCCATAGTAGTCATTTACAAATGTTTAGGGAAAGGTAAATTTTGTAGAAGATGATCTAGAAAAAAAAAAGAGAAGCTTACTCTGTCCATCACACTGGAAACATAAAATGATGTGGTAAATTTATTTAAAATAAAACCTGGTAAGATAAAATAACAAAACAGTTAAGATCTAATGATGATACCAACTTACAGAACAAACCAGAAAATAAAAGATAAAAGAATGTCTTAGATCTAGACACTAGCCACATCAAATGACTTCTACATGGCTTATGAGTAGATGTTCAATAAAAAGAATTCAAACTTTCTAAAAATAGAAGTAAATAGTTATAAAATTTCTTAATGGGGAACAATTATTTGTCAAATTTGTTATTTAAATGTCAAAAAATTATAAAAGACTTCATGTAATTTTTAAATAACTATTTTAAAATCAAAACATAAATTTAAAAGGCTAGCAGAAAATAGAGAAAATATCTGTTAAAATTACGGCAAAAGGGTTAATACTGTTAATATATATAAAACTCATATAACTGATTAAGACAAACATTTGAATGCTCTGTGGAAAGGAAGGCAAAAAGACACTTAAAAAGCAATTCACAGGCCAGATGCAGTGGCTCACACCTGTAACCCCAGCACTTTGGGAGGCCGAGGTGGGTGGATCACCTGAGGTCAGGAGTTCGAGACCAGCCTGACCAAGACGGTGAAACCGCATCTCTACTGAAAAAAAAAATACAAAAATTAGCTGGATGTGGTGGCAGGTGCCTGTAATCCCAGCTACTGGGGAGGCTGAGGCAGGAGAATCGCTTGAACCCAGGAGGCAGAGGTTGCAGTGAGCCAAGATAACCTGGGTGACAAAGTGAGACTCCATCTCAAAAAAATAAATAAAAGGCAATTCACAGAAAAGGAAATATGAATGAATAATGAACATAGTAAGAATGTTTAGTGATGAGTAAACAAAAACTAACATTTATAAAAAGATGAGATTTCATTTCTTCTATTAAATTTTTAAAAAGTTAAGACATGACATGAACATTATTTTAAAACTTCCTTCATTCACTACTGTGGAAAAATAAATCCATACTACTTTCCTAGAAAACAAGTTTGCAATAGTTGTCAAATGTCTTAGAAATATCAAACCCTCTAAACCTGTATTTCTGGGTCTCTGGGATTCTATTCAAATAATACTTTAAAATGTAGACAAGCACCTGTGTCTTAGGATGTTCATTAGAATTATTTATAAGATGTACAAAAATGTAAAGCAATCTATTTTCCAGCAATAAAGAAATGTGTATTTTATATTGCTTCTACAGTATACTTTGTACAATATAAAATATTGTGTATGCGATAAGTGTTCATAAAATTAGTAAAGAATTATAAAAATATGTATCATATAATATTAAGTTTAAAATCAACATATGAAGTTGTTTTTGTAGAATATAATTCCAACTTTGTAAAAAAAATATAAAATGGGAAAACAGTTTAAATAAAAGCTCCTAAAAAATTATCAGTGCTTTATCTAGATGAGATTATTGGTGTTTTTAAATTTATTCTTTGAATTTTTTCTGCAGTTTCAATATTTTTCATAAATCAGAAATTCTTTGTAGAATAAGAAAAATTACTAAAAATATTAATGCTTTTTAAAAACTGTAAAATCAAGTCCAAATGATTACATGTAGCACAGAGGTGAGAAACTGGTATCCCAGTCAACTTGCCTTTCAGAACCATGGAGAGTGAGAATTTTTTTAGTAGAAATCCTTTAGCATCTAATTACTGAAGCTCTTGGAGGAATCAGATCCAAACAAGCAAACTTAACAGGGACCAAGCTGGAGCCTGCACAGCTAGTCCTCATAATGTGGAGCTTCTGGGGCCAAGAGGTAGACACATCCTTTATCAACTGCCAGCACAACAGACTTGGTCTCCTTTGTATTCCTATCATGCTAGCCATGTTAACATTGCCATGTTGACAGCACTAATCCAGAAGTCCAGAACGACTTACAGTTGTTGCTCTAATATATTGATTAAGGATGCTAACCTAAATCAGTCAAACATGCAGAAATCCACACTGGCATTTTCCACTAAGATGAGTTCTTATGACTTCTGTGTCTCTTGGACTATTATTATGCCAGAGCAAAACCCCACCTCAATGACCAGATGCATCTGCTGGGGACCATGCTGGCTTCATAGAGGAACTGGGCTGCCCAGCATGCCATCATTTCAGAGAAAGACACTTTGCAAACAGCAGTAAACAGAGACTTTTCAGCTGATATACTGGAGGGACTTATTTATTCAGATGGAAAAAAACAGATATTTTTCCTGTAGGAGATTACTGTCATTTTATCAACATCTGAAGGAACCTTAAGAGCATCTGCTTCTAAAATATAAGAAAACCCTGCTTGGGGTAACTAAGCATGCCTAGTTTAGACAGAACAGGTTAAGCATGGAAAACAACGAGGACTAGGTTGAGAGAGTGAACAAAATTTGTTTATTTCTCCTAAATTATTCCAAGTTCATTCTCTATGATGGCCAGGCAGACCATCTATCTTTGTTTTGTCCCTAAATTATTTCTCCATCCATTACAGAGCTTCCCACTCTTCCTACCCATAATTACCTGTGGGGTAATCTTTCTATTTTAATTCAAATACCCATTTACTTTAGGTAGCAAAACATTAAGTCATAGTTATTTGGTGCATAAATTCTGTGCTCACTTTTTTTTTAACTTTACAAATAATTTAGATAATAAAGTTGTAGACCTCAGACAATGAAGAGTATGACTGTAAACATTCATTTTGTTTTAAGTGAAAAGGGTTATATTGATGTGGGAATAAATGATACAAAACATTATCTGATAATATTTTTAATCTCAGAAAAGTCTAAACTACACGTCATGCTATTTTATTTTTTTAACTTCTCTGGTCATTTTAAATTATAGAGTAATTATTATTCATGTAGATCCTGTTATAAAAATCTACACATACATGTTATTTTCATCATGCTATACACACACACAAACGCCTAAAATCTAGCAAATGAACATCTTTGCCTAGGGCCACATGACAAGTTTATGGTCAAATGAAAACTGAGTGATCAGAGAAGACTTTCTGCCCTTCCCTAAGACAGTAAGTGCTCTGGAAAGATGACATACAGTGCTTATGACATGTCAAAATATAAACCAAGCCTGTGCCTAAACAACACACATCCCCTGGAGAATTAGGCAATTTTACAACAGCTATGTTAGTGACCTAAGGGCCGCATCAGAGAATGATCAGTCTACTGAAGGAAGACTTGAGGAGTGAGTTCACCTCGCATTTCATAAAAAATAACGACTATCATATGTGTACTCCCTAGGCACCCAGCCACAAACCTCCAAGCAGCTGCGTTCACCCTTACCTTTTTTCCTTATCACATCAAGAGACAAAATCTTCTTCCAAAATCTGAGGTTTGTCTCCATCTGAGTTCTACCTCATGTCTTCAGAGACTTCCCTCAAATATACTCCCTTGCTTAACTATTTACAATATTTCCGTAAATTTTCATCTCTGCATAGACATATGTTCAAACCACGCCCATATTTAAAAATCATTTTCTATTTATAGCATAACTGTATTTTTAAAAAGTCACAAAGTACCAACTCTACATCCACATCCTTGGCTCAGTTAGCCCACTGCAATTTAGTCTCTACCAAATGGCAATGAAGCTTAAGGTTTCATCCATATATATCTATCATCTATATTGATTTCCCTGAGCTCTGCACTTACTTATCCAACTTCTCATAACATATTTTCCCTTGGCAATGTCAAAGATAGCTCAACATGAAAGGAAAGTGAGTTAACTTATTATCCATCTTCTGTAATTGTTCATTTTCAATCTAATCCATGCCTCTGAGGATTCTACAGCCATTCCTCACCTGCTCAACTCCAAATCTTGAGACTATACTAATTACCATCCTGTCCTTTACCTTCAACTTCCAATCAGCCCACAAGTTATGTTCTGCTCATTAATTATTTTTTTGTTTTGTTTTTCTTTATTTCTTCTGAAAAATATGGGAAACGTGCAGAACATGCAGGTTTGTTACTAAGGTATAAGTGTGCCACGGTGGTTTGCTGCACCTATTGACCTGTCCTCTAAGTTTCCTTCCCTCTCCCCCAACCCCCCAACAGGCCCTGGTGTCTGTTGTTCCCCTCCCTGTGTCCATGTGTTCTCAGTGTTCAACTCCCACTTATGAGTGAGAACATGCAGTGTTTGGTTTTCTGTTCCTGTGTTAGTTTGCTGAGGATGATGGCTTCCAGCTTCATCCATGTCCCTGAAAAGGACATGATCTCATTCCTTTTTATGGCTGCAGAGTATTCCATGGTGCATATGTACCACACTTTCTTCATCCAGTCTATCACTGATGGGCATTTGGTTGGTTCCATGTCTTTGCTATTGTAAATAGTGCTGCAATAAACATACATGTGCATGTGTTTTTATAGTGGAATGATTTATATTTTGGGGGATATATACCCACTAATGGGATTGCTGGGTCAAATGGTATTTCTGGTTCTAGATCATTGAGGAATAACCACACTGTCTTCCACAATGGTTGAACTAATTTACTTTCCCACCAACAGCATAAAAGCATTCCTATTCCTCCACAGCCTTGCCAGCAACTATTGTTTCTTGACTTTTTAATAATGACAATTGTGACTGGCATGAGATGGTATCTCATTGTGGTTTTGATTTGCATTTCTCTGATGATCAATGATGTTGAGCTGTTTTTCATGTTTTTGCGGGCCACATGTATGTCTTTTTTTGAAAATTGTCTTTTCATATCCTTTGCCCACTTTTTAATGGGGTTGTTTTTTTCTTGTAAATTTGCTTAAGTTCCTTATAGATTCTGGATATTAGACCTTTGTCAGAGGGGTAAACTGCAAAATTTTTCTCACATTCTGTAGGTTGCCTGTTCACTCTAATGATAGTTTCTTTTGCTATGCAGAAGCTCTTTAGTTTAATTAGATCCCATTTGTCAATTTTGGATTTTGTTGCAATTGTTTTTGGCATTTTCGTCATGAAGTCTTTGCCCATGCCTATGTCCTGAATTGTATTGCCTAGGTTTTCTTCTAGGGTTTTTATGGTTTTGGCTTTTACATTTAAGTCTTTAATCCATCTTGAGTTAATTTTTGTATAAGGTGTAAGGAAGAAGTTGAATCCCAAAATAGATCAAAAACAAGTTCTGAAATTGAGGCAGTAATTAGTAGCCTACCAACCAATAAAAGCCCAGGACCAGACAGATTCACAGCTGAATTCTAGCTGAAATACAAAGAGGAGCTGGTACCATTCCTTCTGAAAATATTCCAAACAATTGAAAAGGAGGGACTCCTCCCTAACTCATTTTATGAACTAGCATCATCCTAATACCATAACCGGGAAGAGACAAAACAAAAAAAAAGGAAACTTCAGGCCAATATCCCTGATGAACATTGATGCAAAAATCCTCAGTAAAATACTGGCAAACTGAATCTGGCAGCGCATTAAAAAACTTATCCACTATAATCAATCAGCTTCATCCCTGGGATGGGAGGCTGGTTCAACATATGCAAATCAATAAACATAATCCATAAACAAAACCAAAGACAAAAATCACATGATTATCTCAATAGATGCAGAAAATGCCTTTGATAAAATTCAACATGCCTTCATGTTAAAAACTCTCAATAAACTAGGTATTGATGGAACATATCTCAAAATAATAAGAGCTATTTATGACAAACCCACAGCCAATATCATATTGAATGGGCAAAAGCTGGAAGCATTCCCTTTGAAAACCAGTACAAGACAAGGATGCCCTCTCTCACCACTCCTATTCAACATAGTATTGGAAGTTCTGGCCAGGGCAATCAGGCAAGAGAAAGAAATAAAGGGTATTCAAATAGGAAAAGGGGAAGTCAAATTGTCTCTGTTTGCAGATGACATGACTTTGTATTTAGAAAGCCCCATTGTCTTAACCCAAAAACTTAAACTGATAACCAGCTTCAGCAAAGTCTCAGGATATGAAAACAACGTGCAAAAATCACAAGCATTCCTTTACACCAACAATAGACAAGCAGAGAGCCAAATCATAACAAAATCCCATTCACAATTGCTAGAAAGAGAATAAAATACCTAGGAATACTGCTAACAAGGGATGTGAAGGACCTCTTCAAGGGGAACTACAAACCACTGCTCAAGGAAATAAGAGAGGACACAAACAAATGGAAAAACATTCCATCCTCATGGACAGAAAGAATCAATATCATGGAAATGCCCATACTGCTCAAAGTAACGTATAGATTTAATGCTATTCCCATCAAACTACCATTTACATTCTTCACAGAATTAGAAAAAAAGACTTTAAATTTCATATGGAATCAAAGAAGACCCCATAGAGCCAAGACAATTCTAAGCAAAAAGAGCAAAGCTGAAGGCATCATGCTACCTGACTTGAAACTATATTACAAGGCTACAGTAATCAAAGCAGCATGGTACTGGTACCAAAACAGACATATAGACCAATGGAACAGAACAGAGACTTCAGAAATAACACCACACATCTACAGCCATCTGATCTTCAACAAACCTGACAAAAATAAGCAATGGGGAAAGAATCTCCTATTCAATAAATGGTGCTGGGAAAACTGGCTAGCCATATGCAGAAAACTATTTCTTAAATATATGCTTCCCATGTTTAGTGATATTCTCTTTAAAATTTTTGACACTCCTTGCCTAGATTATCAAATGGCTTTCTAATTAGATTTTCCTACTTCCAACCTGGGCACTGTTAAACCCACCTTTTCTTCTACTATCAGAGTGATTTTCCTAAAGTTAAATGTTAATGTTAAATCCTTTAATGTTTTCACTTTACCATTAGAACAAAGTCAAACTCCATAGCATGATGTCAAGTCTTTTATCATCTGGTCCTTGAATACATTTCCAACTTTAACTCCGCTAACTGCCATCTCCCTATATCCTGCACACCAGCCATGTCAAAATACATTTGATTTGCCAAATACATCACACTTTTGAAGGACATAAGGTTTTATATATCTTCCCATTGCCTGCAAACCTTTCTCTCTGTTTTTTATCTAGCTAAATGATATTAAGCCTTCAATGATTACTTAAGTATCATATTTCCACTGAAATCTTCACCTATTGCCCACATCCTCCACCAGAGCTGTGTTGTTTCCTTTTCTCAATGCTCCTAGAGATCCCTGTGTTGATCTCTTTCTGGCACTTTGCTAAAAATGGTGGTGAGAACACTTAACATGAGATCTATTCTCTTAACAAAATATTAAGTGCACAATACAATATTGGTAACTATACATCCAATGTTGTACTGCAGATCTCTGGAACTTAATCATCATTTGTAATCAAAATTTTTACCCTTTGAATGGCAACTCCATATTTACCCTTCTCCTCATCCCCTGGAAATCATCATTCTGCTTTCTGCTTCTATGAGTCTGACTTATTTAGATACTTCATATACGTGGAATCATGCAGTATTTGACACTATGTGACTGGCTTATTTCACTTAGCATAATGTCCTTAAGGTTTATACACATGTATTCACATTGTTACATATCACAGGACTTCTTTCTTTTTTATGATAATATTCCATTGAATGTATGTACCACATAATATATTCATCAACTGATGGATATTTAGGCTGTTTCCATGTCTTGCCTATTGTGAACAGTGCGGCAATGAACACAGAATGCTAAAGTCTCCTTGAAGTTCTGATTTCAATTCTTTCGGGTAAATACCCAGAAGTGGAATTGCTAGAATATACTGCAATGCTGCAGTAATTAAAACAGAATGGTACTGGCATAAAGACAGATATAGACCAATGTTACAGACTAGAGAGCCCAGAAACAAATCTATACATATACAGTGAACTAATCTTCAACAAGGATGCCAAGAAAACACAATGGGGAAAGGACAGTCTCTTCTACAAATGGCACTGGGAAAACTGAATATTCACATGCAAAAGAATGAGAATAGAACTTTATCTTACACCATTTGTTAATACAAAAATCAACTCAAAATGGATTAAATACCTAAACAAAAGATCTGAAACTGTAAAATTCCTAGAAGAAAACATAGGGGAATATCTTCATGACATTGATCTTGGCAATGATTTCATGGATAAGACACCAAAAGTACAGAAAGTAAAAGTGAAAATAGACAAGTGGGACTACATCAAACTAAAAAGCTTCTACACAGCAAAGGAAATAATCAACAGAATAAAACGTCCTCCTAGTACTTTTATACTACCTTGTATTTATTCCTTCTCTTTTCTTTCATCATAAACATACATTGTTTGCTAAATTGATGACCTGGCAAGCCAAATCCATGATATTCAGGATCAAAGCTGAAGAATAATTTTTCTGTTGGTGACTTTAACAGAGGTGGAAAGTGTTGGAAGAAGCAGGTTGGAAGGAAAAGAAAAAGAGGATTTAAGACAAACTTTTCAGGAAATTTCTCAGAATGTCATTAGATATCAAGAGATTACTCTTTGTTTGCTACTGGTCTCTGGGTTGGAGAAGCAAGTTAATAATTCACAGCAAAATTAGCTCTCTCTATAATGGGGAAAATATTTTCCTAAAGTCAAATAATTTCCTGGCTGGTCTTCAGGACAAGGGTTACAGGTAACCAAATAAATGTTTACCTTAGCAATGCAGAGATGGTTCTAACTTCTCTTCTTTAACCATGTCCTCACAGCCTAAATGTGTAATAAGAAGACTGGAGGCTGAACACACTGAAGAACAAAGTGATTGAAGCACCTTACCTAAGACAATATAAATATAAAATCAAAGAAGAAATGACGAACAGGAGGATGTAAAGCAGCACTGTGATCACCACGCCAAGAATGCCTGGCTGCACGGTTCTTACAAACATCCAGTAGAGCTTCGCGGCATCCGCCACAGGAGTCTCCTCATTATCTGTAAGCCGCTGACAAAAGCAAATTCAGATTTGAAAAACTCAGAATGGGAACACTGATCACCAAGTTAGGTGAATGTAAAGATACAAAGACTATGTGACCCTATAATTTGTTTTAGAATTAAATCTTCTAGGTACTGAAGATTGCCAGCTTTTCAGGTGCACAAAGGAAAAGAAAAAAGGCTGGGTTTTGCATGCTACTTTACCAGGTTTTTCTCATCTTCCCTCTAAGCCTTTACATGCACACACTCGACATGCAATTCATAAAGTAAAAGCCATGTTTTATTTATGTACTATTAACTTCTGAATTTAATGAGCACAAGACATGAAGAAATTAAATATGATGGTGAAAAGAGTCCTTTCTTTCTGAAGCAGATTTGATAGGAATTTAATTTGTGCTATGCATAAAAGAGATGGCTTATTTTAGAAACTTATAAAAAAGTTATCAGGCTACTTAATGTGAGTTTGAAAACCAAGTTTACATTAGGTTAATTTAACAATAAGTCCTTATTTTAGACAAGGAAAGACATATTCTACATTGGATTAGAAATAAAAAAGCAACACGATGGGGTTTTTAAAAGTATATACATTTGTAAGGACCTACAGTATCATCATATGACATCTTTGACCTTTGAGTTTTATAAAATATGGATGTTCTTTAATTATAAGTCTTTTGATATCAAGTGGAAGTAATATGCAGTATAAATGTTAAGTAAGGTATCTTTTCTCCAATGCAATAGAGAAGGAAGAATTTCTTTAGTCTTTAAATCGATGATTAAACTGATGATAAATATAGGTTGAAAAGACACTTTTTAAAAAGGCTTATCCAAATCACTTACATGTAGATGAAAACAGAAGCCTAAGCAGATTCATTTGTATTTTCCCTCTACCAAAATATACTTTAGTGATTGGGCAGTGAGTAGAATTGAGATGTTCCAATTCTCAACTACTGCTTCTTTGAGCACCATCTCAAAACTTTTATTTCTATACTCTGTACTTGTTAACCAGTTGACCTTGCAAAATTGTGTGTCTGCTGCCAGGACTTTTGGCAGTAGATTGTAAAAGTCATCATGAGTCTCTCCTATTCCACATCGTACCTTTCTGCTGTTCCTTAAAGGTAATGAAATAGACTTGAGATTCATTAATGAAACAAAAAATGATATATATATATTTGATGACAATCACATAATCTAACCAATATATTCTAATTATTTTCTTTGACCCACATGTATTGAATGCCCATTATGTGTCACTAGGAACTGAAGATAAAAGAGTGAATACAATTAGACAAAATCTCTACCCTCTTGGAGCTTACATTTAGGTGAGAAGGGGGTAGGTGAATGATAGTAAGCACATATGCAAGATTAAAATAAGTAGTTTACTGAATATGATACATCATAAGATGGTATTATAAAGAAAAATATAAACCAGAAGAGGTATAGGAAGGATAGAAGTATATCACTAAATATTGCTGTCAGAATAGGTGTCACTAAAAAGATGGCCTCTAAGAAAAGACCTAAGGATATAAGAGAATGAGCCAGGTGCCTCCCAAATGGCATTCATCACACACTGCCCATACTACATCTGTGTGTGTGTGTGTGTGTGTGTGTGTGTGTGTGTATTTTGATTCTCCAACTAGATTGTAAGTTCTAGCCTGGACCATTGGGGCAATGGCTGTTACATCTTGTGTCATTCACAGAGCACAGCATCATCATTTCATTCTAACACTCTCATCTTTATTCCTTTTATGTTAAATATATATATTATATATATAATTATATGTATGTTTCAAGGTTTATTCCCAGTTAGTCTCTTATTTGATCTTCCCAACAACACTATAAAAAGAGTAAGTTAGGTATTTTGTATTTGTAGGTATTACTACTTTCTCATGATGCATATGAGGTCACTGAAGACCAAAGAGGTAAACTGGCCTATCCAACATCATATAGGTGACAAATAGCGGAGCTGGGACCAGAGCCCAGCTCTCTCTGACTCCACCCCGTGGTCTTTCTGCTACTCCATGGTCGCTTCTAATGGAGTGTTTGTGGTTTGAATGGGTCTCCCTAAAGCATGTGTTGGAAGCTTAATCCCAGTGCAACAGTGTTTGGAGGTAGAGCCTAATGGGAGGTGTTTAGGTCATGAAGGGTCCACCCTCATGAATGGATTAATGCCAATTATAAAAGGGCTTGAGGCTGCAAGATTGAATTCTTACCATCTGTCATCCTCTCTTTGCTCTGCTGCCACGGGATGACACAGCAAGAAGGCCCTTGCATGTGGCTGACTGCCACGGTTACTACTTGAGACTGTCATTACGGCAGTTGCTATGGTTACTGCTTGAGACTGTCATTACAAGACTGAACGAAGGGACAAACATAGAAATGATAACAAAAAACAAAAGAAACTATTTTAAGGAAAAGCTAGCATGGGGAAGAAGAAAGCTCCCTGCTTCTAGTGAGCAAAGACAGCCCCGAGCTTCTACAACCCTTTGTATTTATTGGATAACAAGAGCAAGGAGGAGGAGGTAGCGATTGGTCAGCTGCTTAATTGATCACAGGTTCATATTGTTACTGACCGGCTTCAATTATGCCTAATCATAAGAAACATTTGTGCGGCCTCCAACACTTGCAGGATGTCAGTTCCTCAATCTCAGACTTCCCAGACTCCATAACCATGAGCCAATAATTCCTGTTCATTATAAATTAACCAGTCTCAGGTATTTTATTATAGCAGCACAAAAGGGAATAAGTTGTGGAGTCTCAAGAATCATTTGCTGAATGACAGTGTTTGCATTCTACCTTTCATCTTTGCTTACATGTTTTATTCTTATCTCACTATTTATATTGAGGGTAGAAATTATGCCATATTTATTCTGCATCTTTTAAAATCCTATGTAAAGAGTATATAGTCAATAAATATGTGCTGATGGACTAAAACATTCAGTAGCAAATCTTTCCTCTACTTTTTATCCAGATTAGGGCTCAGGCAGAGAAATAATCTATCCACTTAATGAAATTGTTGAGCATAGTATCATCAATGCGTTGCCAACCCCTGAGCCAACAAACTGAAGGACTAAGAAAGAATTACTAGCAACATCAACAGCCATTCAGCACTTCAGCCTCAAACCAATTCATCTGCCACATCTCCTTTTAGATCTCCATAAATGAAATGAATTCAGGACAGAAAATATCAGTAAAATTAGGCAGCATCTCTCTGAGCTGGGTGACCTGGATCAAACCCAGAAGATACTCAGCTTTGTCTGCTAAAAAGAAGTGCTGAAGGATCTGGAGGTATGAACTCAGGCAACCTGAGACTCCCGAGTGACATTCAACCCATGATAACTGCAACCCCATGTGGAAGAGTAGTTTTCAAGAATTAATGAACATCAGAATCACCTGGAAGGCTTGTTAATATACACATTGATGGGCCACTTCCCAACGTTTCTAGCTCAGTAAATTTGGTGCAGGGCCTAAGATTCTGCATTTCTATTAAGTTCTCAGGTGATGTTAATGCTGTTGGTCCAGGGACCACACTTTGAGAACCATAGATTTAAATCAATACTTCTGAAACTTCAGTATGCTGTCAAGTCACCTGGAGAATATGTTAGTATGTTTCAAATCAAAAGGTGGCCATGTCCAAGTGCATTTTTACAGGTTCCCAGAGGGTTCTAATGCTGTCTATCTGTGGATTAGAGACAGCTTTAGAGGTTTTTAAAAGATAGCAAAATTAGATGTCATCTGCAATAAAACATGATGGATTCAAACTGCCCAATAACTTGTGAACATTTGGAAAACAATTTAGCCTTTTTTTTCAAGTGGAGAGAAAAAAGGGTGCTCTACACATCTACTGGAACCCAAGTCAGCCTTTATCAGGTTGCAGACCTCTGAAGTGGTTCTGAGACGGCCATGCTGGAGGTTACTTTCCTATAGATTACATCAGAGGTCCAGAGTAAATTAAGTTCTGCTCATTTTGTCAGCTGCCTTGGATACAGTGGACTGGTCTTCTATTTATCTGCCTGAGGGAACTAACTGAAACAAGAAAAGTCCTTCCAAGAGAGCTGCAGACATCCTTCTAAGGAGATCTCAGAGGACCATAGGGACAGCTGTTCATCCTCCCCAAATGTCTTCACATGTGATGTGGCTGTAGGCCCAGCCCCAGCACCCTGTCTACTCAATATGCACATCAGGCATCTGGGAGAAATTGCAAGGTGGTCCACTCAGAATGCAGACAGCATTTCTCTCTACATCTCCTGCTCATCAATCCTCGATGCCACAGTCACCTTATTATCCTGGAGAATGAGAGGTAGGAACGTAGATGTTATCCAGCTGGCTGCAGCTCAGTTCACTGAGAATCAGCAGGGTGCTAATCGGCAGGGTGAAAAAAATTTAGAGATGGGGTAGGAAACACAGCCACTTCTAACTCAAAAGGCTCCCTCTTCTGCCATGTTGTCAAGGTGCTACAAGGCATGGAGGCTTCACACAGTGGTCTGCGCTTCAAGTACTGAGGAGCTTTCCTCGGCACATGATTCTTTCGCTAATCCCTAACAGTGGGACTAGAAACTAGATACAGCAGTGGGCTTCCGGTGCACTGGTTTAGTTCATTTTAATAATGTTAAATGGTCTACATGGTTAGAGCCAACAATCACACTTGTTGGCAGGTTCTGGGCATTTCTGGCAGAGGCCATTTCCACTCAGGAATAAGCAGTCAGAATTCTCACATGAAATCTACAAAGACATTAGTGCACTTAAATCTTCGAGAACTCCAGTCTTATGAAGAGCAGCCCAGCTATCCTCAGTGAGCGAAAGCCCAGCCTGGCAAGCAGGAAAATGAAAGGAAAGGCCTTCTCAGCAAAGTGTGTAGCACCTTGTTACTCACAGTGTGGTCCATGGAACTAGCATTGTTGGCACCATCTAGGAGTCTATCAGAAATGAAGAATCCTAGGCGCTACCTGCCAACTCAGAAAGTGCATTTTAAAATATATTTTTATTTTTATAGATTTAGAGACTATAAGTGCAGATTTGTTACATGAATATGTTGTGTAGTGGTGAAATCTGGGACTTTTCATGTAACCGTCACCCAACTAGTGTACACTGCATCCATTAGGTAATTTCTCATCCCTCATGCCAATTTCTCATCCCTCATGCCAATTTCTCATCCCTCACGCCCCTTCCATCCTCCATCCTCCCACCTTTTTAAGTCTCTGAGGTCTATTATTCTACTCTCTGTGTTCATTTGTACTCATTATTTAGCTCCCACATATAAGTGAGAACAGGAATGTGCATTTTAATAAGATCCCCTGGGAACTTGAAAGCACATTAGTTTGAGAAACACTGCTATAGCATGCTATGGCCTGAGAGAGTGAAAAATGGTGACAGGCTCTGCTGACCTTAGCTGTCTACTATAGCACCCAAGGTGGGAGATATCTTCATGGATGCAAATGTTCTAAAAGCATGTTATTGAAAAAAGAATCAATTTTAAACACAGTTAACAAGTAGAGACCATCAAAACACCCATCTCTATGATTTGCTTGGTACAGTGAATATAATCCAAACACATACATTCCAGTTGTGAAACTTTCCTTTTTCTTGTTAAAAGGAAAAATATCCAAATGTGGAATATTATTTCATAAAGATAATTTTATAAGTAAATATTTGATCATATTGATTAATTTATAGTATCTATCTGCTCTGCTCTCTTGTTTGGAGTGATATTTTATGGCCAGGCATACAGTATAGAAATTTAGTTAAAATTCAGATGTCTCTTCTTTTGCCTGTTGAAATTGCTTACAAATGTGATGACTTCAAGGTAAAGTGTTTCTTGGCTTGAATTATTCCACTGTTTGCCAGTATTTTTAATTTTGCTTTGATGATTTAATCTAAAGCATTTGGCAATTTAAGTGGAGCTTGGATAAAGTTGCTAAATTGCAGGTCAGGGGCCATGGCTAATAGGCAGGATAGGAAAGGATCCCCCATTGAGCCTGCCTAGCCTTGCCTAGGAACGGATGCCCCATTGAGCCCTCCCTATGCAGGAGCTTACCTCTTCCAACCTATGTTGCTATTCCTAGATCTTCTTAGTCGGCTCATCAGAGCTTTCCTATGCAGCTATAATGTCAGTGGTTCTCAAACTGTGGTCCCTGACCAACAACATCACTGTCATCTGTAAATTTGTTAGAAATGCAAATTCTTGAGCTCTACTTCAGACCCACCAGAGGAAGAACTCTGGGGATGGGGCCCAGCAATCTGTTTTTACCATAGCCTATAATAGATTCTGATACAATATAAGGTTTGAGAATCAGTATGTTTTAGTACCACTCTCTAGGAAATCCCACGCCTTGTGAATTCAAAGCAACGAGAGATTTGGATATGGTAATAAATTTACACTAAGAGCCACATCATTTTTGCCTCAAATTATAGCCCCCAAATTCATTGGTAAATTAAATATTTTGGGGTAATCAAAAAATTATCATCAGGGATAGCATACATTTGATTTCACAAAGCAATATATTCCCTGAAAGCTTGAAGTGGAGATTTTAACATGATGGAAGAAACATCATCCTCAGAATTCAGAAATCTGGGTCCCAGTCCTGGGTGCAGTGTGAACTGGCTATATGGCCTCAGATAAGTCATGTAATTCTGTATCTGGTTTCTCCCAGCTGTAAAGTGAGAAGAATACTTACCCCATCAACTTACAGGATTGTCATAAATATGTAATCAAAGACATTGTGTGAAGATGCTTGAAAAATACAAGAGCACTCTTCAAATATTAGAATCGTTATTGCCATTATTTACATGTCATTATGTATCTTAATACATCATTCATAATTATGAAATCCTAGAAATATATATTTTAAGGTGAAAATGCACCATGTCACTTCAATATCATTAAAAAAGTCTAAATAAATGCCTATATGGTAATTTTTAAAATACATTTATTACTTAGAAATGTTTAAAAAGCTTTCATTCTTGACTGTATTTCTTGCAGGAGAGTATTACATCATAGTCAGTAAGTAACCTAACCAATTAAAGGAACTACTGCACAATTACCTTTTTGCAAAATTTGCCTATGAAAATCCTTAATATTAAAAAAGTTACCTAAAAGAAGTTACCAAAAGAATATAACAAAATAAAGTTTCTTTGTAATAACGTTAAAAATGTGACTGCTAGCTAGGATTTGATCTTCAACATGACTTCTGGCATATTTTTCAAGTGTTTATTTATGAGAGTTAAAATTACACTTAAATTGATTATATTAGACATCCATGACTTTTTTATCAGAAGAAACTTAACTTCGATTTAAGATGCATACTGATTGTTCATTATGATTGAAACTTTCCATGTCAAATGATTCATCCACTAAAGCTAAACTCTATGTCAAGGACTCATATCCTGATTATTTCATTTGACTTACCCCCAGGAGAGTATCCAGTATAAACACTGCCAATGGGTCCAGAATTGTCCATAGTCCCATGGTAATGATTAACTTTGACAAGACATCAGGACAGGAGGCAAAGAGTAGCTGACAGCCCCATCTGATCAAAACCAAAAGAAGCAGGATTGCATTCAGCATTAAAGGCCCCATCACAACCACGGGAAGCTCTTCTCCAATGTGAAGTGAGGAAGTTGGGTAGCAAAGCTCAACGATGTGAAGAGAAAAATGGAATCTGTGGGAAAACAAGGCAATCATATAGGGGCAAACAAGAGGAACTGCACCAAATGCCAAGTGTGCGAACCAATTTAAAGAACTCTGTTTTGTTTTCTTTTTCTTAAATACAGAAAACTTGACACTTAGTAGTACCCCCAAATGTATTGTTAGAAGTTTTCATCTTTTCCCAGCCCCTCAACATGTTGCTTTCCAGGAAAAGGCAAACTCTGTCCTGTTTATTGTTGTTGTAAGTGTTCTGTGCCACCATAGAAAGTATATCAATTTGAGCCACTGAACAGAGCATTCTAAAGACTAAGAGCATTTGTGCAGTTCACACGGTACATTTTAGCAGGCTATTTAAAATGCAAAATATACCAGTGAACTTTCTACTGTGTCAATCTTTAACAGAAATGAGAACTAGATGTAAAATCTAATAATCCTTTAGAGTTTTAGCATAACGGATTAATTTTACTCATGATTCTTGTAACAAGATTCCCAGATACAACAAAAATGACACTGTCACCGCTAACAACCAAAATATCTTACTCCTTTGTTGTTCTAAAAGAGTCAACTAGACACAGTTGAAGGACCTAACCCAAGGGTTAGATCCAATCTGAACCCAGTCATTCAAGCACCCTCAACCCAAGCTTTGCCACTGTCTTTCTGTGCAGTGAGACTTTATTTCACTTGAAGTTTTCCCTCCCCTGAATTTCAGCCTATGTAAAGCTGTTTCATAGTTAATCCTGCTTGTGCATTCTATTTATCCGCCATCTACTAAAAGGAGTTGTTTGTTTTATCCACTCCTTGACCTGTGCTTCAAATAAAGTTTTATGTTTTGTTCTTATGTGAATATCAAATAAAGTAATGTACGTACACTTCTTTTTTTTTTGAAACGGAGTCTCGCTCTGTCGCCCAGGCTGGAGTGCAGTGGCGCGATCTCGGCTCACTGCAAGCTCTACCTCCCAGGTTCATGCCATTCTCCTGCCTCAGCCTCCCGAGTAGCTGGGACTACAGGTGCCCGCCACCACGCCCGGCTAATTTTTTATTTTTATTTTTAGGAGAGACAGGGTTTCACCGTGTTAGCCAGGATGGTCTCGATCTCCTGACCTTGTGATCCACCCACCTCGGCCTCCCAAAGTGCTGGGATTACAGGCGTGAGCCACCACGCCTGGCCATTTACGTATATATCTTAGCATAGTATCTGTCCCAGAGCAAGAGCCGAAGACATGCTCATTGTTGGTGTTGTTATTGCTATGGCTCACAGCTAAGATGTGACACAGAGCTACTGTATGACCCAAGCCTGCAGACTGAGACAATAGCCAGAAAAATATCCTTTGTATCTTAGGTCCTCGGTTGCTTAAGAAATTGGTTCAACTGGGCTGTCAAGATACATTTTGAAGTCTCATTTTATTAACAACTAATAAAGATAGGGCTTCCTTTTCTATCGAAGAATAAAAGAGTGAAAAGCAAAAAACAACTAGGCCAAGCATATCATATTTGTTCTTTTTGCTTTGGAAACCTTAAGAAAAGAGAATGAAAGAAAGGAGGAACAAAGAGACTATCCAGATAAAAATTCCCCCTTGAAAATACAGTTTAGTATATATATATTTGCATATTCCATAATATATTCAGACCTTTATAATTTTCAAAGATATCAATAACTATATATGTATGTATAAATATAAATATTTATATTGTTCTTTGTAATCTTCCTAATTGAAAATATACACGCAACTTTATTTTTATCTGTACCATCTACATTTGAGAAAATGAATTTTACTTGTATTGATATCTATCTGTGTGTCTATCTACAGTGTCTTTGGAATCATGTTTATAAAGAGATAACCTTTAAAGTGTCATCTTTTTCCAGAGGATAATGGCCCAGAAAGCTGCCTGGGCTTGAGTTTGGTAATTGTTTGAATTCAATCATTTTGCAGAAGAAGCAATCTTTGCTTCTCTGTGAATAGGTGATAAATCACACTTACCTTACTTCTAAAATACCTTCAGCCTAAGTCACTATGATAAAATCAAAATACAATAAAACATTGTTGCTAAATTCCTTTTTGGAACCTGCTCAGATATTAGAACATATTTGAATCTGCTAAATTTAAAATAAATATTGATGTACCAGTTATGTACTTATATATACAGGCCCATAAGGTGAGACTATAACTGTAATAGAAGTTTTTGCTTAGATAAAGACATTTTTGTCTTTTCAAATAATCTCTGCATTTTAGGTTGTACGGTAAATTGATGGGAGAGGTGTTTTGTACTTTCATTTGTCCTATTAAGATGAAAATATATTCCTTTGACTTTCAGAGGAAACCACTCACTTTGTAACAGGAGTTGAAATGGCCTGGAGGAAAAGCCACTGGCCCAAGTAATGCAGGTAGAGCCTCAGGAACCAGAGAAAAAACATCAGCAGTATAATGTACCAGAAGCCCTGGCTTTGCCATTGAGATAACTGAAGTTCTGAAGACGCTGATACCAGCACAAAATGGAGATGCTTGAAGAAGTCTCCATATCTACTATCAGCAACTGAAGAACAGCTACAAACAAAGAAACAGTAGATAAAATCTCGGCTTAAAGCACAACCAAAAGTAAGATATTTTGAGAATAACAATGAAACACTGTGAAAGGAAAACTGAACAAAATTATTTCTAAATAAATACTTAGGATTCAAAACTATTTATGTTCCTTTTAGCTATAGTGGATGGTTCACATTATAGGAGAACATAAAGAAACATGAATTAGGGAAATGCAAATCAAAACCACAATGAAATGCCACCTCACATCTGTTAAAATGCCTACCATAAACACACACACACAGACACACACGCATGTGCAATAAGTGTTTGGAAGGATGTGAAGAAATTAAAACCTTTGTGTACTATTGGCAGGAAAGTAAAATGGTTCAACCACCATGGAAAAAAGTATGGTATGTTCTCAAAAAATTAAAAATAGAATGACTATATGATTCAGCAATTCCACCTTTGGATATATATCCAAAAGAATTGAAAGCAGGGTCCAGAAGTGATATTTGTGTACCCATGATTATAACAGCATTATTCACAATAGCCAAGATGTGAAAACAATATAAATGTCCATTGGTCGATGAATGGATAAACAAAATGTGGTGTATATATATATATATATATATATATATATATATATATATATATATACATACAATGGGATATTACTCAGCTTTAACAAAGAAGGAAATTCTACAACATGGATGCTACATGGATGAACCCTGTGGACACTGTGCTAAGAAAGATAAGCCAGTCACAAAAGAACACATACTTATGATTTTACTTACAGGAGGAGGTATCTGAAATAGTCAAAATCATAGAAACAGAAAGTAGAATCGTGGTTGGCAGGTGTGCAGGAGAGGGGAAATGAGGAGTTGCTAATAGTATAGAATTTCAGTTTTTCAAGATAAAAAAAGTCAGATTTGTTGCACAACAACGGGAATGTACTTACCACTGAACTGTAACTTAAAAATGGCTAAGATGGTAAGTTTTATGTTATGAGGATTTTACCATAATTGAACAGTTTTTTATAATAAACATGAAAATAAATTATTGTAAATGGTAAATTTACTTTTTATCTTTAAAATCTAAAATACATTCCTGCTTATCTCACTTACCCACAATGATCTCTCTACATGAAGATTAAATTATTTGCATGTGACTTTTTAAAGATCAATTTTCATTTTAAAAATTGAAATTATCAGTATGCCACTAAAAATCTATGAATACAAATCCAAAACTTAAGAACTTTTTCATTCCATAACACAATACTGATATTTTTGGTTGAAACAAAATATAAAAGGATCTCATACAAAGTATTCTGATTCAGCTCTGATCTCTTCTCTATATTTGGCATTAAGGACAAGAGATGTCAAAGTTTCTAAAATTATAGTTTTTGCAAGAGAAAAGATGAAGAGGCCATCTGAAAATTACTGAACAATCAGAAAGCATTTTCTACTCAGTCCAAACAATTTGTGGAGGTAGCATACAACAGAGTTACCACAGTGTTGCGACTAAAATCTCTGGGAGCTGACAGCCTGGATATAATTATTCTCTATGCCTTAGTTTCCTCACTTGGAAAAAGAAGTTTGTAATAGCACCCAGACCTCAGGGTCAGATATCAAACAATTTGAACCACATTATCACTGTGGTACATTCACAAAACAATGAACACATACTCTGTTGCTTCTCTTTCTTTCTCCTTTTCTAATATTTCCCAGTCCTACTTTGAACTAGTCTGGGCTTCCATTGAGCCCAAGAAATGTAGAAAACCTATCTAAATGATGATATGATTCCTTTTATTTTTAAAGGTATATATGGATATGCAAATATTTGTTATTTAATTAAAGCAGTAAATCGCATGGGTATATACCACGTGTTTTATTAAACCAGTAATTGATCTTTATAATAACTAGACTGTAAATTCCTGGATTAGTATGCCTAATTTTATTCTAGAAAGATTTTCCAGAATGAGATAGTAGATTCCTCAATGAAAAATAGTCCTAATAATAAACATGTTACCAAAGGAGAAACTAGTAACAGACTAAGCAGTTCAGTGACTTAATGACAAACCACAGCAAGTCAGAGCAGTGCTGGGGACAGCACAGAAATGGAATTCATGGACATATTCAAAAGATGTTACATACAAAAGCTCATTGCTCTCCGAAGATTATCAAATGTGATGACATAACATGGGAAGAGAGGATAAATCATGAAAACAACAGTGGGGAAAAAAGAAAGAAAGAAAAAACAACAAGTAAATCTACTATTCCCTCTTAGCATTCCAGACCATGACTACAGCCTTTTGGTCTGCACAGAACTAGTGAGGCACCAAACCTGATACTGACAATTCCTTTTTGTTGTTCTTCTGTGTGTTTCTCCATGAAGGTGTAGCCCCTCACCTAATGGAAAGCAAGATGCAGTCTTTGCATTGAGCATTCTTTTCCATTACAAAAATGAGGAACAGTTAAACAGGAAACAGACCCCAAGAAAGTTTGGTTTATATACAGTAACGTAGTCAGGGGCTAACTCTCTTGTAGAAGGGATTTCAGAATACCTCACTCCATTTACCACCATGTGAAATGAAATGCAGAACTTTCCACACTGCTAAAGCAAAATACCCTGTACATGATCTCCTCCTCGGTTAATTACTCTGTCATTGTTTTGCCTCTTCAAAGGGAAGGGAAAATCAAATGCAGATTTGGCATTGTGTTGTTTGAAAAAAAAAAAAAAAAAAAACCTGGAAAGTCTCAAATGATGCAAAACAGAAAAGACAGTAGCTTCTTTGACCTTTGGAAATTTCCACTGTTCTTTTCATATCCATTGACATAAATGACTAAGCAGTTTAAGTGGCGTATGCACAGAACCCACTATAAAGTGAGTCTTTTACCATTAGTTTTACTAATAAAATGTTTCCTATGCACATTAAGATATATGTGCTTTTTTTTTTTTTTTTACCAGACTTTTGATTTAGGACAAATAACACTAAAATTTCATTAGGAACCACTTAGCTCTAATTCAAAATATTCAATTATTTTATACCTAGTCACTACAAGTCAGGATTTGATTTTGATTTATCTAATAATGGTAACTATTATTAGATATATGTGGATTCAAAGAATCAGGAAAATCCCTGAATCGATAATTGAGAGTTTAGAAATTTATATACTGCAAATTAGAAATTAACAAAACAATCAGTTGATACTGAATGATGCCAAATAAAAGGCTATATCAAAAGCTAATTGAGCAAAACTAGTCAAGTATAGTGTTATTAACAATGCCCACACAGAAACAAAATATGACAGTCTTTTAATCATTTCAAATTTGCCCTTGAAATCTAAATGTATACAATTTAGAATTGTTGTAGAATTATCTCTACAACTTTCTCTTCACTTATAATTCTTGAAATATTTTTCATTAAAAAGAATTTTGCTTCCATGTTTCAAAACTGTCTTGAAAGAGAACATCTTTTGTATCCTTATAGATATGCAAGGCACATGATAAAATGCAGTGTCATTGTGGAATGTCTTCATCCATATTGCAACTGTTCTTTGCCTTCCTCTGTAATCTTTCTTGGTTATGTACAAAGAGTATGACCATCAAAAGGATAATAAATGGCCTCTGCCACTGGGGTGTGTAATATGTATAGTGGGAATTGATTTGTTGGTTATGAAGGAAGCCATAGAGCACACAGATCACTGCAAAATCACATTGAGGCCAGCAGCTACTTCTCAGTTCATGCGGACATCTCCTCTGTTGCTCACAGGGTGAGCTGCCAGAGGGTGAGAAGAATGGTAAGGTCATCCAGTATTCAGCTATTAAATGAAACCTATTTCTCTGAACTTTAGCCACATTTCAAATGACACACATATATCCACCTTCCATGCCCACTCCTAATAAAGACCTGAAATCAAACAAGATTTCTATGATCCATCCATGTAATCATAATAAAAAAAGACCAAAATTGCTTTGGAAAAAATAAAAGAGAATGCATAAAAAAGAGAATGCATTCTTAAACTACTCTCTTCCACAGTTAACAAGAATCCTTAGGAATTAGGAATTTGGATAAAACAAAGAGCCACCACTCATCAATTATGCATAATAATTCTTATTTAAAAATCACTACCAATAGATGGCACTAAAAATTTCCATATTCCTTTCTTTTGGCATAACCAAACATACTCTGGTTGTAGCATTTTTAAAAAATTAAGGTGCTTTTTTCATTATAATCATCTATAACTAATTATTTTATTTAGGTACTTATTATTTTCTTTTCTACCATATCCCACTCATCAGCAAGTTTTTGAGCATGGATATCCTCAGTGACTTCTGAGGCTTTCTAAGACTTAATAGTCACCTTTTCAGGGAGTCATTATCATGAAAATATCAAAGAAACATGCATCCATCATATCATGTCACTGTTGGAGAAGGCCTTATTATATTCCCTCAGCATTCCCTTCTCCGGAGGCTGAACTAAAGCCTAAATAAGTTAAGTCACTTGCCTAAGTAACAGTTACTGGTAACAAAGAATTTTTAAACTAGTGTCGCCTGCTTTTTCGTGAGGACTCTTCATCAGTCAGCTACTGAATCACTTTAGCAAGAAACCCAATGACCAAGAAACTCTAGCCTGATTGAAAGTGAGCCATCTTTATCTAGAACCCAGGTAAAGAAAGCATTTCTTCCTTTGTAGAAGCCGGTTGAATTGGGTATAACTTATTCAACAGATTATCAGTAAATGAATATCAGGCTTTATGATAGTGAAGTTGGCAGAATAATGGCCCCCATATAGTCTGTGCCTTAATTCCTGGAATCTGTGATTATGTGAAATTATATGGCAAAGGGAAATTAAGTAGCAGATGGAATTAAAGTTGCTAACTGCTGGGCTTAAAATATGAAAAGCATTCTGGAATATTCAGCCAAGCCCAATGTAATCACAAAGGTTCTTTAAAAAAAAATGGAAGAAGGAAGCAGAAGAGACAGAGTGAAAACACAAGAAAGAGCCAGAAAAAGGGTAGTGTGAGAAGGATGGTGCAAATTGGTTGTCTTTGAACATGGAGATGATCTGAGGCCTGAAGACAGACTCTAGAGGCTGGAAAAGGCAAGGAAACTGAGCATCCTCTGGAGGCTCCAGAAAGAAGGCAGTCCTGCTGACACCTTGACTTTAGCCCAATGGGACACACTGCAGACTTCTGATGTCCAGAATTGTAAAATAACAAATGTGTGTTGCTTTAAGTCACAAGTTGGTAGTCATTTGTTCCAGCAGCAAGAGATTGCTAATATAGATGAGCTGTGAATTCCCACCATTTGATTCCCACCATTGAATAACACCCCCACTCACCCACAGAATTTTTCATCCATTTGTAGAGACAGATGAGTGTAGAAAAATAAAACACAGAGCTAAAATCCAGTGATAAGTGCTTTAGTGTTGTACTGAATACTATGAAAAAACATATAGAATAGACCTATCTCCAACTTAGCCAGAGAAGACTTCTCTTATGAGCTTTATAAGGTAAAGAGGAATTAGACAAATGGGTAGGAAAACTGGGAAGGCATTCCAACACTATGCAGCTTTCAGAAGAAAAAGTCCTGTCTCTAAAACTGAAAATAAATGGAACTGGCTGGTGAAAGTCCAAGTAGGAGAAGATGGTTCCAGAATGTGAAGCTGGAGAGGTAGGTGGGAACTACTGGGAAGAGACCTGGCCAGTTTATGCCATATAAAGGAGTTTGGACATTGTCCCAACACCATCAGCAGACTGAATTTTTCTTCCCTTGGGGATGGGGAGGAATATTATGCTTGTATTTTTGAAACATTGCTCTGGCTGAAGAATAAATAAAGGTTTGGGAGGGTCCATACTAAAGGACAGAAAGCATGGTGACCTACATCAATGATTTATCAGTAATGCCCGACCAGGGGCAGAACTCCGGAGTCTTCAGACATGTGGTTGTGGGTGTTCCTTGTTGTCACAGTAACATGAAAGTTGGCTAAGACACTAAGTTTCCTGAAATAAGAATGGAAGTCTCAGACAAGGAAGAACTCTTTTGTCCCCATGTTAGTTTCTTAGGGCTGCTGTAACCACAGCATGAGTGGCTTCAAACAACGGAAATTTATTCTCTCACAGTTCTGGAGGCTAGAAGTCTTAAGTCAAAGTGCTGGTAGGGCGATGGTCCCTTCAAAGCTTCTTGGGGAGGATTCTTCCTTGCTTCCTCCAGCTTCTGGTAGCCCCCAGCACTCCTTGGCTTATAGCAGCATACCACTAATTTCTGCTTCAGTCTTCACATGGCTGTCTTCCTCTGCATGTCTGTGTCCCCACACATAAGAGCACCAGCCATATTGGATAAAGGGCCCACCCTACTCCAGTATGGCCTCATCTTAACTTACATTCACAATGACTCTATTTCCAGATAAGGTCACATTCTGAGATAATGTGGGTTAGGACTTCAACATATATATATATATATATATATATATATATATATATATATATATATATATATATATATTTTTTTTTTTTTTTTTTTTTTTTTACGGGGGTGGGGCAGGGAACACAATTTAATCCCTAACAGTCCCAAACGTGAACAGCAGTGCTTTTGAAGAAAAGAGAATTCAACTGGTGTTAGAACAGAGATAAGGGAGTGTACTCCAGAGAAGTCTGACTACTATGGACAGGATGTGGAGACTGAATATGAGAGCGGAAAGAAAAGATTCAGAAAGGGTTCCAAAGTTTCTGGTTCTGGTAGCTTACCCAATGGTGACTGAATAGAGGACATATTAGAAAAACATCATTGGTTGGGGGCTGGAGAAGATGAGGAAAAAGATAAGCTCATATTGACCTTCTTATAGAAAATGGCAGTGGAATATCCCAGAGAATTTTCCCAATTGTCAGTTTTACTTATGGAAGTGGAGTTTAAGAGATGTCAGGACTGGAAATACAATTTGAAGCCATATGCATGATCACAAGAAGCAATCAGAATGGTGTGAAAATTACCTGAAATTTAAAAAATTATAAAACTGTTGGTGACTAGTATGATATACATTTTCTCTTCTGATGGAATTTACTATATTGCTGGAGCAATTGACACTCCAGCACCCCTTGAAGCGATTCTTTTTCCATATGCTGCCTGATGGCTGAAAACCCACTTAATCAGGAAAGAACGCACCTCCACTCACTTCTCCGAAAAAGTTTATGAATAAGAGTTTTTAAGCTGAGAGAGAGTATTTGATATAGACAATACTACTGATGTAATAATAGCAGCTATTATGCATTGAATACACTATGCACTGGGAGCTTTTCATAAATATATCTAATTTACAGGGACAGTTTGGAGGACATGTGGCACTGTACTCATTTTACAGATGAGGAAACAACTAAGAAAGTTCAATTTACTTGCTTTAGATCATTCAGCTATTAAGAGACAGATCAAGACCAGAAGCTAGATTTAAACGTGATTTTTGTCTGATGCCAAAACCTGTGCATTTCGACAACTCATGCCGCATTTAACTACATGGGGGTTGGTAGGGATGGCAGGAAGGAGGTATACAACCCACTCACATACACACAGAACTCAGTTAAAATGCAAACTGATGTTCATGAGGTAGTGACTCTGCTCTGTGAAGGCAGGAACTGTCTGTCTTGCTCACTGCTATGTTCCCAGGTGCTAGCACCATGCCTCCTGCATTGCAGGTGCTTGAAAATGAACATGTACTAAATGAATACATTTTTAGAATAAGTGGGTTTCCAAACGGCTTCAGTTAAAACTATGATCTGCTTCTGCCTATTCCTATAATTTACCATTTCAATATTCATAAAGCCCATGCCAATGTACGTGCTTGGTACCTAAGAAATTTGAAAGCCACCATTGGGATTTTCTAAATGGCTTCTGAAGAAAGGTACAACAGGATATCATTATGTGATGCGGCTCGTATGACCCTCTTTGGGCAAGTTCATTGTGACACCATGTTTAAAAGAAAATGAGGTAAAATACATCAAGATAAGGAAGCACTTATTTGGAAAGAAGGAGCATTAATCAAAAATAAGTTATGACAATACTATAATCGTGTGTTGATATTAGATAAATATTAACATATTAATTATAAATGACATCAGTTTCATTTTTTAACAAAAGTATTAAAATGCTCCAATCTTTTATTGTTTTTGTCTTAATTTCAAGTATTTCTGTGAAATGTGTATCTTCTTACATAGGGATCTGTACATATATATTTGCCAAAATGTTCTGGATAAAATTGTTATCCGTTCTCTCAACTTTTAGAAAACCTGATGAAAAGAAAAACTTCACAACTTTATTATGATGTTGACATTTTTAAACTGGACATTTCCCCTTAAAATTGTGTCTCCTTGGTCAACATGGCTATTATATTTTTAATATAACAAATTGCACTTTTAACAGGTTTAATTCAATTTACAACAAATGCCTCTAATTAAGTTAAAAGATCTTTGAAAATTGCTAAATCTTAGGGGTAATATTACCACTACTGACATTGAAATAATTGATCATTCCCACTGAGGCACAAAAGTATAAATGTTCTAATGAGAAAACAGCGATTGAAGTATGTTGAAGGAATCCAAAGAGACTCCAAACTCTTTAGGCTGTTATTTCCAATGACAGTCTCTGAATGGGAGAGAGAAGCTTTGGAGGGGGCAGGGAACGATGAAACTTATCACACAGTATAAAAAGAAAATTGAAAGCAAACTTCACCACTTGAAGCAAAGGATGCCAAAGTCTGTTTGCCTTTTCGCAAATATATTTTTTGAAATTCAATGTGTGTTGTATGTGTCTGTTTTAGAATGTTAATTTTGCCATCTGAAAATAACATTTTCCTTAACATTCCCTAGTAAATACTGGGTGCAATATTTGAATGCAGTTATTTTTCCAAGAGAAATTTTCTTAGAGTCAAAAATGAATAAATATAGGGGCAGTGCTTTATGATAATTAAGATGTACGAAAACTAAGGACAACAATTGTCCCTGACTTAACAACAATAGCAAAGCGGGAAGCAGAAATGGATGACTTTTGTCACAGTTATTATCACAGCTTACCTTCTGGCTTCGGGAAGTGACTTAGCTTTGCAGCTAGTCTGTTAGAAAGAAGGAGAACATTTACCTTGCTGGTATTTGCCTGGCCTAATTAGTTAAAATGTTTACAAAGCACTTCATAAGTGAAAATAGCTAAACACTTTATGCATAATGGGAGTTTTATTAATAATTGGAACAATAATGTAAAAGCAGTTAGCTTTGAAAACAATTACATTGATGAGCTGTGTGATAATGCGTAAACAGAACAGTATAAGAAAAAAAAGAAAAATAACTTCACAGCTTAGCCAGAAGCATGCCATCAGGAGCCTCCCAGACACATAAGGCTGCCCACACTGAAGGACGAAGGAAGGCAGGGCTATGTACAGGCTGACAGCAGAGATTCCGGCTTAAATTTTTGCTCTTCTATCTACAGTTTTGTGATATTTCATAAATTATCTAGTCCCTGGGCCTCAAATGCCTTCTACAAAAACAAGAGATTATACTGTCTACCACTTCAAATTATTATGAGGATCAAACAAGAGAATATGTCAGATTCCCAGGAAGGCACATGCCACTTTTAAAGAACTGCTTATTATACGAAGCTGAGAGGTCACTAACTAGTCAAAGAAAGTACTTTTGAATCATAAAATTAGTTTTTCATTGTGTAGTCACCATTGCAGGCAATGGAAAATACAGTTCAGTGAAAAGAATCACATTATCATTCTAACAGCATCTATAAGTAGCTCAGACATCGAAATCAAGAAACAAAGGACATAGCTTGATCTCTTCTTTGTTTCCTTCCTGAAACCATAGTTTGGATTGTATCTATTAGATAAACAGGTGTTTGGCAGTAAGGAGTCCAAATTTAGAAATGCAACCCAAACCATTGACAATATCAGATATGTTGAAAACAGTAGAAAGAGAAAAATATACGCAGTCTATATGAGTTCAAACAGGAGGTTGATAAATTTATTTTGTGTAGAATAAACTCTAACACTCAGACTTTCTTGTGGGATCAAGTTTAATTTTGCTTTTTCTAGCAAAATGTGGACATCTGTCAAATACAATATGGGTCTGACATCTTATCCTGACATAACAGTGTAATTCAGATATAACTCAGATTAAAATGAAAATGAAGACAAATGAGGAAAAAGCAATAATTGAGTGTTGACAAGAAGTCGAAGGGTAGCAGCCCCGCTATGCTGTCAGTGTCTGGAGTAATGGTACTCATAGTACTGCTCAGGAAGGCATAGCTCAACTGAATTGATTTGAATTGAAAATGCACATAGCATAAAGAATGAGCTGTATTTAGCAGTATACGTAATATGTACATATATGACATATACATATCTATTTGATGAATACAGTGTCAAAAGAAAAATGTATAGCAGAGTTTTAAAAGTATAAATTTTTAAAATCAGATGGAACTGGGTTTGAATATTAACCCCATCACAAAGTAGCTATAGAAACCTGAGTAAAGTACTTAACTTCTCTAAAATAATAATTTTAATAATAAGAAGAAGATAATACCTTTTTTTTTGAGATGGAGTCTCCCTCTGTCACCCATGCTGGAGTGCAGTGGCGCGATCTCTGCTCACTGCAACCTCTGCCTCCCAGGTTCAAGCGATTCTCCTGCGTCTGCCTCCTGAGTAGCTGGAATTACAGGCACCTGCCACTGCCTGGCTAATTTTTTTGTATTTTTAGTAGAGATAGGGTTTCACCATCTTGGCCAAGCTGGTCTCCAACTCCTGACCCTGTGATCCACCTGCCTCGGCCTCCCAAAGTGCTGGGATTACAGGCCTGAGCCACTGAGCCCAGCCGATTATACCTATTTTAAAGGTTCATGGAGAAATGTAAAGGAGCCCAGGTGTGGTGGCTCTTGCCTGTAATCCCAGCACTTTGGGAGGCCCTGGTGGAAGGATCACTTGGGGCCAGTAGTTGGAGACTAGCCTGGGCCACATGGTGAAACCCCATCTCTGCAAAACATACAAATATTAGCCAGGCATGGTGGCCCATGTATGTAATCCCAACTATTCATGAGGTTGACCTGGAAGGATTGCTTGAGCCAGGAATTCAAGGCTGCAGTGAGCTGTGATTGCACCACTACCCTCTTGCCTGTGTGACAGAGCGAAACCCTATCTCAAAAAAAAAAAAAAAAGAAAGAAATGAAAACAGAATACATGTAAAGCTATTAGCATAATATTTGTCTCACAGTAAGTGCTCAGTTAATATTAGCCAAATAGAATTATTCTGATTTTTGTCACCACCATTATTATTAATAACCATGATGGCAGCATTTTCTAAACAAATAATGGAAATAATTTGAATTCCACTCTCTTCTAGTTTCTTACAAGGAGGTGTCCTTGCTATAGAAATAAGATTTAAATCCTTCCAATTATGTCAAGAGAACTTTTAGTAATTATTAATCCATATCTTCTTTTAAGACTTCTAAAGACCCAAAATAGAGAAAAATATGTCTTCATAATTTAATGCAACAAAATACATAATATATTAATTATTTTGCTTTCCAATTTAATCCTGAGTTGTTTTATTTAGTCACCTATTATAAAAAGTAATTTGTGTTGATAGCTCTGAGGAAATCTAGAAATTAAAGAGCTAATTAAATTCTTTCTCAGTAATTTTTGAGTCTCTGTATCAATATATGTGTGCTCACACGTTCAAACATCCATGAATAGCCAAGCACTGCAGGATGTTTCTGGAAATTGACCTTCCATGATGTCTACTTTGACTAACCCTTTCCTCTGGGCAAACATACCTAACCTTTAAGCCACATTTTCAAAGGAATCATAGATCATGCACCTCATAGAACTGAACTAGAATGTCAGAAATTATGATCAAGATAGGAAAGAGAAGTAATGAGAAGCTGACCTATTTTGCTGTGAATTTACTGTGGATGGAAGATCTCAAGGAAGTTTTTACTTTCTTAACTAAAATAATAATAATAAAAAATACCCTGTAAAATATTTAAATAATGGTCCCATTTCCATAAATAGTTTGGCATCTTCAAAGTTATATTTAAATAGTATTTTTATAATTTACCTGCATATTTAAGAAAATGAGTTTTTAAAACATATCATGAAATCAACATAAAGAAGCTATAACTGGTGTGATAATTCTAGAATTTCACCCTGAAACAAAAATATCATCATAATTTGCAAAATCCTTTGTTAATTTAATTCCGTGTATGTACTCCTATATTTCAACAAAGGTGCTATTTTTTTTCACCTGGGGCTCCGATATATATAAATAACAGCAAATCTCTTATTTTTAAATGTAACTCATTAGTTTCTCGATCTTTCATGTTTTTTACATATGCATTTATCAAAGTATACATCAGTAAATCTTAAAATCTAAGCCTAAAATTATATTTAAGATTTAAATTTTAAATTCCAAAGCATGTAAAATTTAGTGAATATAAAATTTACTGAAGCACTCTTATTCAAACGGGACAAAAATCTGGGAACATGATGCTGATTAGAATAGCAAGGTAAACATAAGCCACAGAAATGTTGAGCTCTCTCCTACTATGTAATTGTCTTCTCAGAGGCAAAGTCGAATGCAGGAGGTCTCTTGAGGAGAGATTATGAGAGCTGTACCTGTCATGAAGGGAAGAAGGTAGAACTGAGCAGAAGGAGAACCTGACCCACAAGGCCTTTGCTGATGATGTAGAGTTAGAGTGGCCCTTCATATTGTCCCGAAATAAGGCAAGGGGAGCAGGTCTTTGTGTTTCCACATTAGTCATCAGCTATGAGTTGCCCTATGAGAAGGGCACAATTTGGATGAGAAAATTTCCTATGACCAAGGAGAATTCCCAAAGAGGCCCTCAGGTGTCAGCCATCCACGACCAATATTCCCAGCAACTGAAGGATGGGGGCTGGGTCTGAGTGAAACATGACAGTATCCATCATAGTCCACCCATTGTGCCACTCAGATCCGCTTGCTTCATATAGTAAATTAACACCATCTGGAAACTGTTCCTCCAGGATTCTGGTCAGCCTTGTTTCCTGGGAAACTTAGTGGAGAAGGGTGAGTGGGGACAATGGCACCCTGAGATGTACTGCCACCATACAACTGCTGCAGTTGATCTCGAGGTTAACATTGACATTCTTTATCACCCTCCTCCACCGTACTTAACCTGTAGTAGCACTTCTGCTGGTCTACATGTCTTGCTTGTTGAGATATTCTCATCTTCATGCCCTGAAGGTCTGAGTTCTAGACAGTGTGACCCTCCCAGGCTTCGGCTCCCTTCTGTGTCCACTGACAGTTAAAGCCAGACATGAGGACCAGAAGAAGCCCCAGATGGATCACCTGCGAACCAAACCTATTTTCCCCTGTTCCCATTGTGTAGTAGCAGCTCCACCTCCCACCAAAGATAAGAAATAATTAACCTTGACAATAATGTGACTCCTTTCCTTGACTGCTGGTCTCTTGGCATAAGGAGCCTGAGATGACCTGGTGGTGGCTATGCCTTAATGTCCTGCGTCCTGAGATGGAAATGGTTTCTTTCTGCAAAGCAAGGCCTCCAGAATTCTACAGCCTCAAAATTGTTGGGTTAGAAAACAAATTCCCCATGTGGGTCACTAGGAGTCATTTTAAGTGAGGCCCTTTCCATTTCTAGCTCTTGCCTGCCAATTATTCTATGTACTGGGACCATCCCATATTATGGTTACAGATTTAGTGTATGTTGGGCTCCCCAACCTTCCAAGGTAATATATTCAATCCAGTGACTGAGCTGAACTTCCAAGAGGCGATTTCACCAGTCTATCAGGTTGGAAGCATATGGAGGGTGGGAAATATACTAAGATTAGTGGATCATGGTACCACTGCTGCATCTCCTTTGGAATACAATGAGCCTCTTGTTCTGAGGCAGTCTTGCACAGCATTCTGGCTGAAGGGACCAAACACTCTGTAAATTGTCAGACAGTGTACTGGCCATGGCCTAGTTGGCAATGAGAGGTGAAGCCGGCTGAGCTTCTGGGTCAGGTGGGGACTTGGAGAACTTTTCTGTCTAGCTAAAGGATTGTAAACGCACCAATCAGTGCTCTGTGTCTAGCTAAAGGTTTGTAAATGCACCAATCAGCGCTCTGTGTCTAGCTAACGGTTTGCAAATGCACTGATCAGCACTCTGTAAAAACGCACCAATCAGCACTCTGTAAAATAGACCAATCAGCACTCTGTAAAATGGACCAATCAGCAGGACATTGGCAGGGCCAAATTAGGGAATAAAAGCTGGCCACCCGAGCCAGCAGCGGCAACCCACTCAGGTCCCCTTCCACACTGTGGAAGCTTTGTTCTTTGCTCTTTGCAATAAATCTTGCTGCTGCTCATGCTTTGGGTTTGCACTACTTTTATGAGTTGTAACACTCACCGCGAAGGTCTGCAGCTTCACTCCTGAAGCCAGCGAGACCACGAACCCACAGGGAGGAAAAAACAACTCCGGACGCACCACCTTTAAGAGCTGTAACACTCACTGTGAAGGTCTGCAGCTTCACTCCTGAAGTCAGCAAGATCATGAACCAACCAGAAGGAAGAAACTCCAGACACATCTGAACATCTGAAGGAAGAAACTCCGGACACACCATCTTTAAGAACTGTAACACTCACTGCACGGGTCTGCGGCTTCATTCTTGAAGTCAGTGAGACCAAGAACCCACCGGAAGGAACCAATTCTGGACACATTTTGGCAACCACGAAGGGACCATCGCCTATTGCCAAGTGGTGAGTACCACCGGAACCCTTTCACTTGCTATTCTGTCCTATTTTTCCTTAGAATGTGGGGGCTGAATACCGGGCACCTGTCGGCCAGTTAAAAGTGACTAGCGCGGCCGCCGGACTAAAGACATGGATGTCAGGCTTTCTGGGAAAGGGCTCTCTAATAAACCCCAACTCTTCGAGTTGGGAGCATTGGCTTGCCTGGAACCAGCTTCCACTTTTCCTGTACTTCTGGGCTAAGCCAAGGGTCGACAAAGGGGAAAGCCACTCGGCTCTGGGGTCCCGACAACAAGTTGGTTGACCCTGCAGCCATGAGCAGAACTCTCAAAGTCATGTCACCCAAGCGAGACTTGTCCATCTATCCTATCTATCCTAACCCTTGCCTCCTGGGTCCTAATGCCTATCAGACAAACTTCTTCTCTCCTCTCTTCTCCGAGGCTAGTCCCACTTCTAAAAACCACTCCCTGTCTCTGGTGCTTTTCTAGTTTCTCCTATAAGAGTGATTTCTAGTATAAACTCCAGGACTCTGTTACCTTCTTTAGGCACCTCGGCTCACCAATCAGAAAGACATAATTTTTGCCCAAAGCCCCATCATGGGGTGACTATCTGGAATTTTAGGATCCCTCCTCAGACAAGCAGGCCTAACAAAAGCTATTCCTGAAGCTAGGATATGGGGAGCCTCAGCAATTGTATCTTGCCTATTCATACAAGTGAGGACAGTGAGGACAAAATGCTTCACTCTTCCAACTCCGGAGATCCCTCCCCTCCGTCAGGGTATGGCCCTCCACTTCAATTTTGGGGCATAACATCTTTATAGGACAGGGCTAAAGTCCCAATACTAACAGGAGAATGCCTAGTACTCTAACAGGTTTTCGAGAATACATTGGTAATGGCCACTAAATCTGATTTTTCTCAGTCCTCTTTGTGGTCTAGGAGGATAGGCAAGGGTGCAGGTTTTCGAGAATGCATCAGTAAGGACCACTAAATCCGACCTGCCTCAGTCCTCCTTGTGGTCTAGGAGGAAAACTAGTGTTTCTGCTGCTGTGTCGGTGAGCACAACTATTCTGATCAGCAGGGTCCAGGGACTGTTGTGAGTTCTTTGGCAAGAGGTGTTTCTGCTGCTGCATCAGTGAGTGCAACTATTCCGATCAGCAGGGTCCAGGGACTGTTGTGAGTTCTTTGGCAAGAGGTGTTTCTGCTTCTGCATCAGTGAGCGCAACTATTCTGATCAGCAGGGTCCAGGGACTGTTGTAGGTTCTCGGGCAGGGGGAGAAACAAACAAACCAAAACTGCGGGCAATTTTGTCTTTCAGATGGGAAACACTCAGGCATCAACAGGCTCACCCTTGAAATGCCTAGGCCATTGGGACCAATTTGACCCGCAAACCCTGAAAAAGAGGTGGCTCATTTTTTTTCTGCACTATGGCTTGGTCCCAGTTTTCTCTCTCTTATGGGGAAAAATGGCCACCTGAGGGAAGTATACATTACAATACTATCCTTCAGCTTGACCTTTTCTGTAAGAGGGAAGGCAAATGGAGTGAAATGCCTTATGTCCAAGCTTTCTTTTCATTGAAGAATACACAACTATGCAAAGCTTGTAATTTACATCCCACAGGAGGACCTTTCAGCTTACCCCCATATCCTAGCCTCCCTATAGTTCCCTTCCTATTAATGGTAAGCCTCCTCTAATCTCCCCTGCCCAGAAGGAAATAAGCAAAGAAATCTCCAAGGGACCACAAAAACCCCTGGGCTATCAGTTGTGTCCCCTTCAAGCTGTAGAGGGAGGGGAATTTGGCCCAACCCAGGTACATGTCCCCTTCTCCCTCTCTGATTTAAAGCAGATCAAGGCAAACCTGCAGAAGTTTTCAGATGATCCTGACAGGTACATAGATGTCCTACAGGGTCTAGGGCAAACCTTCAATCTCACTTGGAGAGATGTCATGCTATTATTAGATCAAACCCTGGCCTTTAATGAAAAGAATGTGGCTTTAGCTACAGCCTGAGAGTTTGGAGATACCTGGTATCTTAGTCAAGTAAATGATAGAATGACAGCCAAAGAAAGGAACAAATTCCCTACCAGTCAGCAAGCCATCCCCAGTATGGATCCCCACTGGGACCTCGACTCAGATCATGGGGACTGCAGTCATAAACATCTGCTGACCTGTGTTCTAGAAGGACTAAGGAGAATTAGGAAAAAGCCCATGAATTATTCAATGATGTCCACCATAACTCAGGGAAAGGAAGAAAATCCTTCTGCCTTCCTCAAGCAGCTACAGGAGGCCTTAAGAAAATATACTCCACTGTCATCTGACTCACTTGAGGGTCAGTTGATTCTAAAAGATAAGTTTATTACCCGATCAGCTGCAGATACCAGGAGAAAGCTCCAAAAGCAAGCCCTGGGCCCTGAACAAAATGTGGAGACATTATTAAATCTGGTAACCTTGGTGTTCTATAATAGGGACCAAGAGGAACAGGCCCAAAAGGAAAAGTGAGATCAGAGAAAGGCCGCAGCCTTAGTCATGGCGCTCAGACAAACAAACCTTGGTGGTTCAGAGAGAACAGAAAATGGAGCAGGCCAATCACCCAGTAGGGTTTGTTATCAGTGTGGTTTACAAGGACACTTTAAAAAAGATTGTCCAACAAGAAACAAGCCACCCCCTCGTCCATGTCCGCTATGCTGAGGCAATCACTGGAAGGCACACTGCCCCAGAGTGCAATAGTTCTCTGGGCCAGAAGCCCCCAACCAGATGATCCAACAATAGGACTGAGGGTGCCTGGGGCAAGTGCCAGCTCATGTCATCACCCTCACTTAGCCCCGGGTACGTATAACCATCGAGGTCCAGGAAATTGACTTCCTCCTGGACACTGGCGCGGCTTTCTCAGTGTTAATCTCCGGTCCCAGACAGCTGTCCTCAAGGTCCATTACCATCAGAGGAATCCTGGGACAGCCTGTAACCAGGTATTTCTCCTACCTCCTCAGTTGTAATTGGGAGACTTTGCTACAGATAGTAAGTATGCTTATCTAATCCTACATGGCTATGCTGCAATATGGAAAGAAAGGAAGTTCCTAACCTCTGGGGGAACCCCGATTAAATACCACAAGGAAATTATGGGGTTATTGCATGCAGTGCAAAAACCCAAGGAAGTGGCAGTCTTACACTGCTGAAGCCATCAAAAAGGGGAAGGAGAGGGTAGAACAGCAGCATAAGCAGCTGGCAGAGGCAGGGAAAGACCAGCAGAAAGGAAAGAGAGAAAGAGAGAGACAAAGAGGAAGTCAGAGAGACAGAGAGGAAGGGAGAGACAAAAAAGGAAGCCAGAGAGAGAGAAAGAGAGAGACAGAGAGTCAAAGAGAGAAAGAGACGGAGACAAAGAGGGAGTTGGAGAGAGAGAAAGAGAGACACGGAAAGTCAAAGAGAGAGAGGAAGAGACAGACAAAGAGGGAGTCAGAAAGAGAGAGATGAAGAAGTCAAAGGGAGAGATGGAAGTAGTAAACAAAAAACAGTGTACCCTATTCCTTTAAAAGTCAGGGTAAAGTTAAAACCTATAATGGATAATTGAAGGTCTTCTCTGTAACCCTGTAACACTCCAATATCACCTTGTTGTCAATGTAAACAAGGGCGTTGCCGGAAAGCACTAAGGCCACTGACAACCTGTAGCCTTCCTATCAAAAATCCTTAATCAGCAGGATTCCTAACAGGGGATCTAAATCTTAATTAATTACCATACAAAGGTCTGACAAGATCTAGGAGGAACTCCCTTCAGGACAGGAGGATAGATAGTTCCTCCCGGGGGATTAAGGAAAAAAGACAAAATGCGTATTCAGTAAATGATAAGGAAACTCTTGTAGAAGCAGAATTAGGAAAATTGCCTAATAATTGGTTTGCTCAAATGTGCAAGCTGTTTGCACTCAGCCAAACCTTAAAGTACTTACAGAATCAGGAAGAAGCCATCTATACCAATTCTAAGTTAACATGGACTGAACGAGGTCTTACTAATAGCAAAGAATAATTGAGATCCCAAACTTACAAGGTGTTCAACAAAAGTAAAGTTTGCTAAAAGTTAACAGTGTAAACATATATTATGCTAACTTCTAATCTTGTGGAAATCAGACACCATCAGTACCCCTCAAAGCTCAAGTCTGTCAGCGCAGAGCTATACAACTAATACACCTACTTATAGGGTTAGGAATGGCTACTGCTACAGGAACCGGAATTGTCAGTTTATCTACTTCATTATCCTACTACCACACACTCTCAAAGGATTTCTCAGACAGTTTGCAAGAAATGATGAAATCTATCCTTACTCTACAATCCCAATAGACTCTTTGGCAGCAGTGACTCTCCAAAACCGCCGAGGCCTAGACCTCCTCACTGCTGAGTAAGGAGGACTCTGCACCTTCTTAGGTGAAGAGTGTTGTTTTTACACTAACCAGTCAGGGACAGTACAAGATGCCACCCGGCGTTTACAGGAAAAGGCTTCTGAATGCCTTTCAAATTCTTATACCAACCTCTGGAGTCGGGCAACATGGTTTCTCCCCTTTCTAGGTCCCATGGCAGCCATCTTGCTATTACTCGCCTTCAGGCCCTGTATTTTTAACCTCCTTGTCAAATTTGTTTCCTCTAGGATCGAGGCCATCAAGCTACAGATGGTCTTACAAATGGAACCCCAAATGAGCTCAACTAACAACTTCTATCGAGGACCCCTGGACCGACCTCCTGGCCCTTTCACTGACCTAAAGAGTTCCCCTCTGGAGGACACTACAATTACAGGGCCTCTTCTTCACCCCTGTCCAGCAGGAAGTAGCTAGAGCAGTCACTGCCCAATTCCCAATAGCAGTTGGCGTGTCCTGTTTAGAGGGGGGATTGAGACGTTAAGCCGGCTGAGCTTCTGCATCAGGTGGGAACTTGGCGAACTTTTCTGTCTAGCTAAAGGATTGTAAACGCTCCAATCAGCACTCTGTGTCTAGCTAAAGTTTGTAAACGCACCAATCAGCCCTCTGTAAAAACGCACCAGTCAGTGCTCTATGCCTAGGTAAAGGTTTGTAAATGCACCGATCAGCACGCTGTAAAAACACACCAATCAGCACTCTGTAAAATGGATCAATCAGCAGGACATTGGTGGGGTCAAATTAGGGAATAAATGCTGGCCACCCAAGCCAGCAGCGGCAACCCACTTGGGTCCCCTTCCACACTGTGGAAGCTTTGTTCTTTCACTCTTTGCAATAAATCTTGCTGCTGCTCACACTTTGGGTCTGCACTACCTTTATGAGCTCTAACACCTACCACAAAGGTCTGCAGCTTCACTCCTGAAGCCAGCGAGACCACGAACCCACCGGGAGGAACAAACAACTCTGGATGCGCCACCTTTAAGAGCTATAACACTCACTGCGAAGGTCTGCAGCTTCACTCCTGAAGTCTGCAAGAAACCCACCGGGAGGAATGAACAACTCGGGATGCGCCACCTTTAAGAGCTGTAACACTCACTGTGAAGGTCTGTGGCTTCACTCCTGAAGTCAGCAAGACCATGAACCCACCAGAATGAAGAAACTCCAGACACATCTGAACATCTGAAGGAACAAACTCCGGACATACCATCTTTAAGAACTGTAACACTCACTGCGAGGGTCCGCGGCTTCATTCTTAAAGTCAGTGAGACCAAGAACCCATCAGAAGGAACCAATTCCGGACACAGTGATACATGCAAACCCATATCTAGAATGTATTGCTCCCCGTCAAGCTGACTTGCTGCATCTTCCAAGGAGGAAGGGGCCCAATGTAGTCAACTTGCCACCAAATGGCTGGTTGGCCTCCTTGAGATATGATGCTGTATCAAGGGCAGCATTTATTTCTATTGTTGATGGGCTGGACATTTGGCAGCACTAGCTAATGTAAGTCATGGTGAATGGCAGCCCATACTGTTCGCCTGCACATAGCTTTCATCTCTGCCCACATGTCTATTTGGTTCATGAACTTGTTGTGCCAGCACTGAGATGGTCAATTATAAAGAAAAGCTCAGGTTAAAGAGCTGAGACACTGTATTTACTTTTTGCTTGGTGCCTCTTCCAGGGTGGATGCTACCTGTGGGTGTTAACATGCAATCCAAAAATGTTTACACTTTGTATCCACTTCAAACGTAAACTCCTGTGACTCCTTCTCAAAACTTACCACATACATTTTCTCTTTACCCTTTCAGGCCCCTGTCCAAGCAGCCAGGCCCTCTGCGTCTATCATGAGCCCTCACAGATGTTTACCTTAGGCCATGTCACTTTCAACACAAAGGTAATGACTAGTTGCACCTGCAAGAGTGCTACCCACTGGAGAATTTCCCCTGCCTGCTACCGTGCAGGGACACCCCGAGTGAGCTGTAATGCAGCAGCTGTCTGTTTTCCACTGCATGAGTGACCTGCAATCTATGCTCGTTCTTTTTTCTTTTCCATCAGGTGGTCATAAAAGCCCTCTGTCCTATATTGACACAGATATTAGTTCAGAGAGGGAATCCAATGCATCAGTGGTAGGTATTATGGAAGTCTAAGTCATCTGCTCATATGGCTTACTTTTAAAATTAAGGTCATCTCCAAAAGATGGCATGGTTCCACCAGTATGGTATCACAGATATGGCATATGTCCAAAGTCATCAAATTGTATACATTATACATGTGCAGGATTTTTTTGGGGGGTACATCAACTATACCTAATTAAGATTACATCAAAAACTGGTAAGTGCTATGAAAAAATTATATGAATCAGGATAATGAGATAGGGATTGACTGTTGGGTGAACATGGAAGGCTACAAGGTGGCATTCGAGAAGACCTGAATGAGATGAAACCATGTCAGGTTATGACAATAGGGAAAAACATTCTAGATAGAGTGATTGTGTCCCTGGGTCAAATCATACCTGAGGTCAGTGGCCAGTTTTATTCTCTATCTGCCACTATCTTCCTTTAAAAAAAAAATTGATGCCAGGCATGATGGCTCATGCCTATAATCCCAGCACTTTGGGAGGCCGAGGCAGGCGGATCACCTGGAGGTCAGGAATTTGAGACCAGTCTGGCAAACATGGTGAAACCCTGTCTCTACTAAAAATACAAAAATTAGCTGGGTGTGGTGGTGCGCACCTGTAATGTCAGCTACTCAGGAGGCTGAGGCAGAAGAATCGCTTGAACCTGGGAGGTGGAGATTGATTGCAGTGAGCCGAGATCACACCATTGCACTCCAGCCTGGGTGATAGAGTGAGACTCCTTCTAAAAAAAAAAAAAGAAAGAAAGAAAAAAAAATACACACACACACACACACACACACACACACACACTCTCCCTCTCTCTCTCTCACACACACACATATCAGCTCATTTAAATTAAAATTTGTGATTTTGACCAAATAATTCTATTGTAGACTGCATGTTTGTGTTCCCTGCAAATTCACATAGTGAAACTCCAACCCTCTAGGGATGGTGTTAGGAGGTGTAAATGTTGGTAGGTGATTGGGTTCAGATGAGGTCATGAGGGTGGGAGCTCTCAGGATGGAATTCATGCCCTTGTAAGAAAAGAAAGAGACTAGAATTTGTTCTCTCAGCCTTATTAGGATCCGAGGAGAAGACAGCCATCCACGAACCAGGAACAGAACCCAACCAGACACCAGATCTGCCAGCACCTTGATGTTAAGCTTCCAGCCTCCAAAAATAAATGTGTGTTGTTTATCCTATGCAGTGTATTTTTGATACAGTAGCCCAAACTGACTAAAACAAATCCTAATATAAATCCTAGTATTAATACACTGTGTTGGGGTGGAGTTGGGATGGTGAGCCTATTTTCTGTGAATAATAAAAAAAAAGTTAATAATAATAATTGTAAGATTTGCAGGGACCATGTGGCAATAATTAGTTGGCTACCCAAAAGCACCTTCCAATCCAACTGTCCCTTGCCCTCCTCCAACTATAGAGGCTGGAAAAGTCTAGATATTGCTTTTTCCAACTTCCCCTTGTAATGAAGAGTGGGCACATGACCCAGTTGTGGACCATGAGATGCAAGGGGAATGTTGCTGAAAGGATTCTGAGAAAGTGAATCCTCTCCCTAGCAGAAGGGAAAACACAAATAAGTTCACTCCCCACTAGCTCCTCTTTCCCTTTGAATGTGATCTTGTTATTCAGAGCTCGTCAAATCATGAGGGTCAAAGGAGAGAATCATGGAGAGGCTGAGCCAGAATGCTGACACAGCCATGCCATAGAAAGAATACCAGCAACTGCCTGCTTATCAACTCCTTGTTGCCTGAGAAAAATGGACTTCTCATCATTTAGGCCATTGGTATTTGGCTTTCCTTTTATTTGCAATTTGAAAGTATTATTTACTTATACTGACTGCCGTAATACATTGAATTCCTAAAACCCAGCAAGACCTAGAATAGGAATTGGCATTAAATAAAAATCTACTGCGTAAACAAAACTAAAGAGAGTTGAAAAATATAAGAAAGCAGAATACAGCCATCATCATGTTTGCCTTGATGGAGTCACTCAAGTCACAAAGCCAGGAAACCAAAGGAACTAAGTTTCTGCTAGTTTTGTTTTAAATATTCAGGATGGCCTTTCAGTTGAATGGCAAAGGTAAAAGAATAATTGAATTATTTATTGATTTAGATGCTGGAGTTGGTGCTATGTGTGTGTGTTTCGTAGGCGACAGAATGATTATTAAATGCACACTGCACATATGGGCAGCAAGTGTCATTTAGAGAGATAGCTGTGAGATTTGCTAGCAAAATATTTCTCAGCAAAACCGCTCTGTGTGTGTATGAGTGTGTGTGACTGTGTGTGTGTGTATGTGTTCAGAAGCAATTCACAGCACTAGGATTGCATCTGCCTGGAGGCAATCACAGACAACGCACACACAAATACATTCAGAAACATGGGGAAAATCTGTTTTTATGTGAAATGTTACATTTCCCATACTATTCTTCATAACCGCACATTAATTATTAGGTCCTACTTGGTAAAAACAAAACAAAACACTCAATATGTTATTCAGGAGAACTCTGTATTAAATGGAAAAAAAGGATTAGAATATGATGTGAGAAAGTGAATACTTAAATGCCTTCTAAATTAGCTCTGAATGGAAACATCTAATACTAAATTAGGAAATTAAAAATTCCTGAATGTCGGGGATTCTCAAAATGAAGGGAAACTGCAATAACCCCTCTGTAAAGCAAATCAAAATAGAACTACCCCCAGGGATAAAAGCCACAGTGAGAATTTGAACTCAAGTCCTATGAAGCCAGAAGGCAACACCGCCTTTCTCCAATGGTAAAGAGCCACATAGACGAATAGTAGCTGAGATGTCTGAATTCATCTTCTAGAATCTTTGAGTACATTTAGAAATTAATTTCCATTTATATAGCAATTGATCAGATAGTTTTAAAAATAGCTCATCATCCAGTGTCCTGAAGTCATGAGCAAAGCTTGTGAAAAATAAAAATCCTCTTGTTTTCCTTCAAGAGTGTCACAACAGTCTTTTCATTTATTTTCAGAAAGCAGCAGACAGAGAATAAGGGCAGATTGCCAAATATGAGACTAGGGATGTCCTTGAAGACAGCCTAAACCAAAACAAACACAAAAACAAACATGTCTACAATTAAAAGACAGTAACACTGCATTACAATTAGTTGTCTCAGGAAGTAAAGATGTTTTCAGTTAACTGAATGGGTAACAATTACTTGGATTATTGTCATACTTAAAATGTCAGCGTTAAATGATTGCTTTAAGCACATAATAATAAATTCTGCATTCTTAAGTGGCAAATACAACAAAGCCAAATATAGAGAACGTTGTTACTGGAAGCAAAATTAAGCATTAACAAAAACCTGCAACACACATTTTTAAAACAGAGGGAACAAAAGAGGGATAGCTGGAGATAAACAAGGATTGTTCTGATATTCACCACTTGCCTTAGAGTTAGGAACGGGTCAAAAACTCATGGAGAAAACCTGTTTGAGGCACGCCCACCATTTCAGAAGTAAACACATAAGGAGGGATGACTACAGAGAATTGTATAGAACCTTCAAGACCTCTTCCTGGAAATATAGGTTAATTATAGTATTTAGGAAAATAGCATTGCTTAATTTCACACCTGCGATTAAATCCAACATGATTTCCTGGGATATGTTACAATCACATCGTAAGTCCTTGCAAACCATATTTTTCCCGTGTCGCTGTTAATTGCAGAGGATTAACAAATAACAAGTGCCATTTGCTTACACTGCCACTGTCAGCAGCATATCTCTCCTTTTCTCCAATATACGTTCTTACTTCCTTTTGAATCACCAAGTCCCCCAAACAAACCTAAAGCTCTCAGTGATTCAGCTGAGGCAAGTTCATCCATCCTGTAAGCCATGCCACCTGAAAACAATACCACAGAGCAGGAAGTTAGATCTAGCTGCAAAATTGTGGGAAGGGTTAGTTCTTCCCTTTGGAAGTTAGAGTTTAATTGGACGTATTAGATATTCTTCTATTCATCACCCATGACTTAACTGCACTGATTTTCTGTACTGATAACAATGGAGCACAAATACAATGGACTCTGTCCTTCCCCTTCTGCGAGGAGAGAAGACATACCACAGCCCTGTTGTTAATTGTCTAGTTGGAAAGTTCTAAAAGGTATGGAGCGGATAAGAGGCCACTTGTAGCTGGAAATAAATGTTTAAGGACCATCTGCTGGGAAAAATGGTTTGGGAGATGGACTCTGAAGGACTGGTAGGATTTGGGCTGGCAAAAGTGTAAGAGTCTGAGGATTATATAACAATGTGAAAGAATCCAAGAAGAGGGACATGGCAGAGTGACAAGGCAACCTTAGCTGCCTTCCATCTTTCTTCACAGAGAGAGGAAATATTTCCCTCCTAAAAAGGCCTTGAGCAATAAGTAAATTTTTAAAAAGACTCACTTGCTCTTTGTTGTCAATATCCAGAATTATATACGTCTCAAAAAGAAAATAAAGAAGAAAAAGCTAATCTATTCTTTCTGCTTAGACAAAAATATAATGTTTTATATTGGGCCAAGCTATTAAGGTACTTCTCACTCAGAATTTGTACACCTAACACAGCTGATAAGAGCTTCCAAGCTCAGAACTTGAAGGAAAATCTATAATTTCCTATTATTATCATTCTTATATTCCATTCAAGATTAGACTTTCTTTGAAAAGTATGATTTAATAAACAAACAAGCAAATCAGACAATCACACCAAATGCTGAACCCAGAAAGCATTATGTGCACTTCATCATAATTCAGGACACACATGAGTGACTAAAGGTTGTGGTACCATAATGCCTATCAGTAGACCATTCTGAAATTGGTCCACTGAAATAATGACTCAAAAATTGTGGTAAAGTTTAAATATGCGCCCTGCCACAGGCAGCATGAGTGTCACCTCATGTCATCACAATTTATTTGTGCTGGGTTCCAAAACAGTAAGAATATGGAAACAATAATTGGAATTGTCTTTTCAAAGGCCTTTCAACTTGTTTGCTTCCATAGTCTAAAGATTGTGGATTTTAGCTTTAGTGGGCAATAGGTTTCAAAGCAGCTAGCTATTTTCCAGCCATGAGGAATGAGATAGATTACTTTGTCTGAAGGGTAACTTTATCTACTTTTCAAAAACAGGAATAACACATTCCTGAAAAAGTTTCTTAAGAGGGAAAATTTGGGAGACACATAGCTATACTGAGTCAATGCCACCTTATCATAATAGCAAAATAATTGAATCACTACTTACCCATTTAATAAACATTAACGGAGTGTCCACAAGATATAAAGAAGACAGAGTGAGCATGTTTACAAGGGGACCTGAATCCAAAGTACTTAAAGCATCTTCCAGCTGCCTGTGCTAAAAGTGAGGAGATAGCCAAACACTCCACAGTGTGCTTTTTGAATGTTTCTTTTACACTATTTTTCTACTAATTTCTAACATAGGGAGAACTTCATTAGATAGTCACCCAACTAATGAGGAAAAGGAGAATACGTTAAATGTTGTTGAAACAATATCCATAACCTGTTCTAAGTCTATAACATTCCTCAGACTTCTCTTCCGGAACCATGTACAAGTAAATGTGCTATTTTAATTATTAAATAAGGAAAATAGGGCAAATTTAACATAAACCAAGGTTGTTTTATTGTAACTGCTGTGAATATTAATATTAGAAGAAAGAATTATTAATGCATCTATTTAGACCTTAGGGTCCAATTTCTTTTAAACGCTTTTGTATAATGAAAAAGTAAGGCCAATTGTTTGGGGAATCAGGCTACCCTGGGAAAATACTTCCTTTCCATTTAACAGTTATTATTTTTAAAAAATTCATTAAAACCGTTTATCTGATTGGCACTATCCTAGGCACTAAATTGATCAGCGAAAATTACATTTTTAAAACCAGGGTATTTTAAATAATGGATTTTTAGAATGTTTTGAGAATTTTTATATATTTCAAGAAACCAAATGCTTATTTTTTCTAGAAATTGCACAACCTAGAATAAGTCTTAAGCATTTACTGGAAGACCGCAAGAGTGTCACTTAAATAAATATCAAAGCAACGTGTCCTCACGAGAAGTTGAGGCCTGAGATTTATTTGAATCCGCTACTTTAAAAAATCCAGAAACCATTATAGTCAAGAAATTCAAGTATTACTCTTCTCTTCTCTTCTCTTTTGTCTTCTGCCATTTAATGAAGAGCAGGGAGCCAAACGCCACCAGGCACTAATGCTGGCATGGCCCATTCTAGGCCAATAAGTTGCCAAGAAATGTTCTCTGGACACTGGCATTTGCATCCAGCACTACAAAACCATACTGTAGTGCCACTGTATCTATATACAAGATGAATGAATAAATCCGCAATAGATGAAGTACTAAAAGCATCTAATTTCCAATGCAGTGCTTCCAGCAACAACTGAAATTAAAAAACTTCTAAAACACAACTATAGAACATGCTATCTTGTTGTGAGTGCACTGAAGCAAAGGTTAACAATAAAATAAAAGAAGGAATGAATATGCATCTATAGCTGGGATGTCGTGCCTGCCTGATAGGCCTTGGCAACAACCATTGTATTTGTCAGATCCCATATAAGTTTGGAAGGTTCATGGTTTTAGAGCAAGGAAACGTTTTTCCATTTTTTTTAGTGAGACTCAAACTGGAAATGCCAAACTGCAATTTCCATTAAAGACACTTATGACTATGTCAGATTGTCTGCCAAGTTCTATACCTTGAACAAGTATAGGTAAACAGGAATTCAGTTCAGTAGGACCAGGGTCCATATGTCTACTAGTTTACATACTCCTACATTGGGGAAACATTAAGAATAAAGTCTGCATTCCATAAAAACTGTTGCCATAGTTTGGAATTTGTTTCATGCTTTCCTGTGCTGGGGGTCAACTTGGAAAAGCTAAGAGCTACATTTCCTAGAATCTCCTTCCCTATAGGGAAGAGTTTTGGGTTGCAATCACTCAAAAACAGAGCCAGTGTATTCATTAAAAAGCCAGAGACTCCTGTTAAGCCCTCATAGAACCTCCACACCCATGGAGTAAAGACTTCATAGGCTGGGCGCGGTGGCTCACACCTGTAATCCCAGCACTTTGGGAGGCCGAGGTGGGCGAATCACGAGGTCAGGAGATCGAGACCATCCTGGCTAACATGGTGAAACGCCATCTCTACTAAACAAAATACAAAAAATTAGCCAGGCATGGTGGCGGGTGCCTGTAGTCCCAGCTACTTGGGAGGCTGAGGCAGGAGAATGGCGTGAACCCAGGAGGCGGAGCTTGCAGTGAGCCAAGATCACATCACTGCACTCCAGCCTGGGCAACAGAGCGAGACTCCGTCTCAAAAAAAAAAAGACTTCATAGAACATCCATTCTCATGGAGTAAAGCCTTCATAGGACATCCATTCTCATGGAGTAAAGCCTTCATAGCACATCCACTCCTGTTGAGTGAAGCCCTCACAGAATATCCATTCCCGATGAGTGACACCCTCATAGAATAGCCATTCCTGTTGAGTCAAGCCACCATAGAATATCCATTCCCATTGAGTAAAGCCCTCACAGAACATCCATTTCCACTGAATGAAGCCCTCATAGAACATCCATTTCCATTGAATGAAGTCTTCATAGAACAGCTATTCCCATTGAGTGAAGCCCCAATAGAACATCCATTCCCACTGAGTGAAGCCCCCATAGAACATCCATTCCCATTGAGTGAAGCCCCCATAGAACATCCATTCCCATTGAGTGAAGCACCCATGGAACATCCATTCTTGTCGAGTGACGATCCCATAGAACATCCATTCCCATTGAGTGAAGCCCCAATAGAACATCCATTCCCACTGAGTAAAGCCCCAATAGAACATCCATTCTCATTGAGTGAGGCCCCATAGAACATCCATTCCCACTGAGTGTGGCCCCCATAGAACATCCATTCCCACTGAGTGAAGCCCCCATAGAACATCCATTCTCATTGAGTAAAGCCCCCATAGAACATCCATTCCCACTGAGTGAAGCCCCCATAGAACATCCATTCCCATTGAGTGAAGGCCTCATAGAATACCCATTCCCATTAAGGGAAGCCCCCATAGAATATCCATTCTCACTGAATGAAGCCTTCATAGAACATCCATTCCTATTGCATGAAGCTCTCATAGAACATCCATTCCCATTGAGAGAAGCCTGCCTAAAACATCCATTCCTGTTGAGTGAAGCCTTCATAGAACAGCCATTGCCATTGAGTGAAGCCCTCATAGAAGAGCCATTCCCATTGACTGTCAACTGATTGGAGTCATGATTCATCCCAGGCAAGACCCACAGAAGAACTGTCCAACAAGCTCAGCTCCAACTGCTGCCCCAAGAATTGGGAGCCAATAAAATAGTGGATTTTTAATGCAGTAATAGATAACTGAATTTTTAATAATGAGATCAAAAAATGGCTGTCATAACAAAAATCTTAAACCTGTGGCATTGGCTCTGGTAGGAGATGGGTTGTGGGTGAAGCATACAGAAGTGGCAAAAAAACTTTTGGGAAAGGGAAAAAGCAGTGAGAAACCGCTAGAAGATACCAGTCCCCTATAGTATATAGAGGTGGAAAGATTTGAAAAATGATCACCTGTAGTAACTTGGAAAGTAGAAAATATGCATAAATAACTTGCAGATCTGGATAAGAAGAACTTCGGAGAGAATGCGAAATTACTGGTTTGGTACATCTGGCTGTGTATGACAAAGTGCTGTAAGAGAGACATAAGCTAAGGAAAAAAACTATTCAGTTTGGAAATACTGAGGGGCCAAGACTTCCTGGGTTGGGAAATAAAACTCTTTCTCATCTTATATGTCTCTACAGCCCACAAAAGTTGTCCCAGCAAGAAATAGCTCCAGAATAAAGAATAAAGGTATGGCTATAAAATCTTTTTTAAGACCTAAGAATAACTTAAGAAAGTGCCTAGTAGATCCTCTCAGTAGGGCAAAGGGCCTCTATGAATCTTAAGAAGGTTGTCCCACAGCATCCTGACCTGCCACCCAAAGTAGAACAGGACTATTTCCAAAATAATGGTGTGTGGCTTTTACAAGAGAGTGTAATAGAATATATATACATTTGATGTGGCACATGAACTTTTTCAGGGACTTTTGCCAGCATGGTAAAAGCATAGAACAGAGACACTTCCAAATGGACACGGCTTCTGGGCCCCCAACTTTCTATGGGCAGGAAGCAGGGTAAGAAGGCTACTTAGCTGCAAACACGGGGAATTTCTTATCAAACAAGAAAGGTGTCTCAGAGACTGGAACTAAGAGCCTGGAGGTGAAGCTAAGAGCAGAAGGGGACAATGGCCTAGGGAACTACTTTCTGCAAATATGACTTAACCCCAACCAACACATTTTCCCTGCCCGTGAAATAGGAGACCTTAAAGCAGCTTGTGCCCAGCTGGATTTCAGAATTGCTATGGAACAGCGATTGATACAAGCTTCTTGCTCCTCACCTTTTGAAGAGAGTATCTATTATGATTACCTGGCTAAGTGTGTGTAATGGGGTCAGGGGTGAAATACAGATAACAAGTCCTTTTAGGACACTGATCCATGGATCAAGAGGAGCCATATCTGAGTAGCTGTATCTAAGAAGCTCAATTCAGATCTGCTCCTGATTTAGATGATGAGATCCTGGATGATTTGACCCTAATGTCATAATGGAATAAGACTCCTGAGGAGAAGGTAGTGCATCTTTATGTAGAAGGGATGTAAATAATTATGGCCAAAGAGTGGACAGAAAGTGATTGTTTGCAATCGGTAATGGATACATCTCTTAAGCCTATAAACTTACATGTGTATAATTCCAGGATCATATGCTAATGGTTGAGGATACAATAGTAAGAAAAAATAGATGTATTTTCTTTTATCGCAGAGTTTCAGTCTTGTAAATATAGAGAAATATTAATAAAATTATCAATAAAAGTAAATTGCACCAATGGTAGACATTACAAAGAAGAAGTGCATGATATTATGAGAATCAAAACAAAGGCTTAGGGAAAATGCACATCTGAAGAATAAGTAAAAAAGTAACAAGGCCAAAAGGAGAGAAAAGAGTTTCTAAGCAGAGGAACCACCTGGCAAACCCACTCTGGAGGGAAGAGTCCAAAAGCTTATTAAGAGTCTAATTGTGATGTTTTGAAAGAACCTAAGCATTAACAGGCAGGTAAAGTTAAGTACAAATACTAGCAGTAGGCGGTCTTAGTCCTAAAGCTTGAATAAAACTAATCCCGAAAATGATTCAAGGCAAAGCAAATAACAGAAAACCATTAGCATAGTTCCTGAAAAGTTATATTTTGAAAGACTTGAATCCTTCTCTGTTAAAGTAAACAAAACATGAATCCCTGAACAGAAGAATGCAGGACCCCTGAATATAGATTGAGCCTTGGCATTTTCCAAAATATTATTTACCAGCCCATTTCTTACTAAGATAAAAAGCATATCCAATGAGCTGGCAAGATCAATCTCCATAATTATTACTCAGAGACATATATTTCATAAATAAAAAATGAAGTGCTTATATAAGAAAGAACTGCATTATTTGTTTCAACATTTTGGTTTGTAATTTTTTTTCAGACGAATAGACTCTTGTATGTAGAGATTAACTGTCTATGCAAAGACTTCTAATTGATTGCTGTTGAGTGATCCATGTGTAATGTTTACAATGACCCATGGGAAGCTCCTCATCGATGAGATTGAATGGAAGTATGTCACAGAAATTTCCATTCTGTCCATTAAGAAAAGGAATTTTTACTAATTGTCAAGAAGCATATCCACAGGTCATGTTTGAAGTAATCAACTCCTCCCAGAAGGCAAAGATTTATATCAAAGTGGAGGACTAAAAGTCAATTAACAGAAGGTTCAGATTCTACACAAGGAAGTGCCATCTTGACAAAATATGACACTCATAATCCATAATGTGGAAATGTTACCACATGATGTATCATATTGGATTCAAGTGATCATTATTAGAAACCAAGAAGTTACACAATTTTTGAAATGTACAAGAAAAATGCCTAAATATACTGAATGTTAGCAATAGTGTTTCTAAAAATTAAAAGGGGAAGGAAGGAGGAATTCAACCCCTTCTCCCTGCCTCACTTAATGAGCTGGGACATCTCATCTCATTTTCTTCTGTTCTCAGAATGGGATTTACAGTATCAGCTCCCTTGGTTCTCAGGTCTTTGGACTCATACTTAGTTACATCCCCGGCTTTCCTGGTTTTTAGTTTACAGATAGCAAGTGGTAGGACTTCCCAGCCTCCATGGCTGCATGAACCATATATATATATACACACACATACATACATATGTTTGTTGTTCCCCTCTTTCTGCCAATGTGTTCTCATTATTCAGCTCCCACTTATAACTGAGAACATGTGGTATTTGGTTTTCTGTTCCTAAGGATAATGGCCTCCATCTCCATCCATATTGCTGAATAGTACATGATTTCATGCTTTCTTATGGCTGTGCAGTATTCCATGGTGTGTCTGTACCACATTTTCTTTATCCAGTCTACCTTTGATGGGCACTTAGATCTGTCTTTGCTATTGTGAATAGTGCTGTAATGAACATACATGTGCATGTATCATTGTGGTAGAACAATTTATATTCCATTGAATATATACCCAGAAGTGGAATTGCTGGGTCGAATGGTAGTTCTGTTTTTAGTTTTTTCAGGAATCGCCACACTGCTTTCCACAATGATTGAAATAATATACACTCCCACCAGCAGTGCATAAGTGTTCCCTTTTCTCCGCAACCTTGCCGACATCTGTTGTTTATTGCCTTTTTAATAATAGCCATTCTGACTGGTGTGAGATGGTACCTCGTTGTGGTTTTGATTTGCATTTCTCTAACGATTGGTGGTATTGAGCATTTTTTCATGTTTGTCGGTCACTTGTGTGTCTTCTTTTGAAAAACGTCTGTTCATGTCCTTTGCCTAGTTTTTAATGGAGTTGTTTTTTGCTTGTATGTTTGCTTAAGTTCCTTATTGATTCTGAACATTAGACCATTGTCAGCTATATAGTTTCCAAATACTTTTTCCCATTCTGTAGGCTGCCTGTTTATTCTGTTGATAGTTTCTTTTGCTGTATGGAAGCTCTTTAATTTAATTAGGTTCCATTTGTCAATTTTTGCTTTTGTTGCAATCGCTTTTGGCATTTTCACCATAAAATCTTTGCCAGTTCCTGTGTCCAAAGTGGTGTTTCCTACATTACCTTCCTGGGTTATTATAGTTTCAGGTTTTACATTTAGGTCTGTAATCCATCTTGAGTTGATTTTTTATGTGTATAAAAAAGGAGTCCAGTTTCAGCCTTCTGCATATAGCTAGCCAGTTGTCCCAGCACCCTTTTTGAATAGGGAGTCCTTTCCCCATTGCTCGTTTTTGTCAGCTTTGTCAAAGATCAGGTGGTTGTATTTGTGAGGTCATATTTCTGGGTTCTGTATTCTGTTCAATTGGTCTGTGTGTCTGTTTTTGTACTAGTACCATGCCATTTTGGTTACTTAGCTTTGCAGTGCAGTTCAAAGTCTGGCAGTGTGATTCCTCTGGCTTTGCTCTTTTTGTTTAGGATTGCAATGGCTATTCACACTCTCGTTTGGTTCCATATGAACTTTAAAATAGTTTTTTTCTAGTTATGTGAAGAACATCATTGGTAGTTTGATAGGAATAGTGATGAATCTGTAAATTGCTTTAGGCAGTATGGCCACTTTAATGACATTGATTCTTCCTATCCCAGAGCATGGAATGTTCTTCTATTTGTTTGTGTCATCTCTAGATTTCTTTCAGCAGCCTTTTGTAATTCTCATGGTAGAGATCCTTCACCCCCTTGATTAGCTGTATTCCTTGGGATTTTATTCTTTTTGTGGCAGTTGTGAATGAGATTGCATTCCTGATTTGCCTCTCGGTTCAGGTGTTGTTAGTGTATAGGAATGCTAGTGATTTTTGCACATCCCTTTTGTATCATGAAACATTGCTGAAGTTGCTTATCACCTCAAGAAACTTTTGGACAGAGACTATGGGGTTTTCTAGATCTAGAATAATGTTGTCTGCAAACAGGGATAGTTTGACTTTCTCTCTTACTATTTGGATGCCCTTTATTTCTTTCCCTTGCCTGATTGCTCTGGCCAGGACTTCCAATACTATATTGGATAGGAATAGTAAGGTGGCATCCTTGTCTTGTTCCAGTTTTCAAGGGAAATGCTTCCAGCTTCTGCCCTCAGTATGACGTTGGCTGCGGCTTTGTCCTAGATAGCACTTATTATTTTGAATTATGTGCCTTCAATACCTACTTTGAGAGTTTTAACATGAAAGGATGTTGAATTTTATTGAAAGCCTTTTCTGCATCTATTGGAATGATCATGTGGGTTTTGTTTTTAGTTCTATTTACGTGATGAGTCATATTTATTAATTTGCCTATGCTGAACCAACCTTGCATCCCAGGGATAAAACCTAGTTGATCGTAGTGGATCACCTTTTTGGTGTGCTGCTTGATTCCGTTTACTAGTATTTTGTTGAAGATTTCTGCATCTATGTTAATCAAGAATATCAGCCTGAAATGTTTTATTGTTGTTGTTGTTGTGTCTCTGCCAGGTTTTGGTGTTAAGATGCTGCTTGCCTCACAGAATGAGCCAGGGATGAGTCCCTTCTTCTCAATTTTTTGGAATAGCTTCAGTAGGAATGGTACCAGCTCTTCTTTGTACATCTGGTACAAATTGTCTGTGAATCTATCCAGTCCTGGGCTTTTTGGGGGGTTGGTAGGTTACATATTACTGATTCAATTGCAGAGCTAATTATTGGTCTATTCAGGGAATTCCATTTCTCCCTGGTTCACTTGTGGGAGGATGTATGTGTCCAGGAATGTATCCAGTTTTTCTAGATTTTGTACTTCTTGTGCACTGAATTGTTCATAGCAGTCCCCAGTGGTTATTTATATTTCTGGGGGGGTCCGTGGTAATGTCCCCTTTGTCATTTTTATGTTTTTTGGATCTTCTCTCTTTGTTTTCTTTATTAGTCTAGCTAGCAGTCCATCTATCTTATTAATTTTTTCAAAAAAACAACTCCAGATTTGTTGATCTATTTTATGGTTTTTTGTGTCTCAATCTCCTCAGTTCAGCTTTGATTTTGGTTATTTCTCATCGTCTGCTAACTTTAGGTTTGTTTGTTCTTGCTTCTCTAGTTTTTCTAGTTGTGATGTAACATTGTTAATTTGAGATCTGTCTAACTTTTTGATGTGGGCATTTAGTGCTATAAATTACCATCTTAACATTGCCTTAGCTGTGTCTCAGAGATTCTGGTATGTTGTGTCTTTGTTCTTATTAGTTTCAAAGAAATTCTTGATTTCTGCTTAATTTCATTAGTTACCTAAGAGTTGTTTAAGAATACATTGTTTAATTTCCATGTAATTGTATGGTTTGGGGCAATTTTCTAGGCCTTGATTTTTATTTTTCATTTTGCTGTGGTCCAAAAGTATGGTTGACATAATTTCAGTTATTTTGAGTTTGTTGACGGTTGTTTTATATCCAACTGCACGGTCAATATTAGAGTATGTACCTTGTGGTGATGAAAAGAATGTATATTCTGTCGTCTTTGGGTGGAGAGTTCTGTAGATGTCTATTAGGCCCATTTGGTCAAGTATTGAGTTCAGGTCCTGAATCTCTTTGTTAATTTCCCACCTCAGTGATCTATCTAATACTACCAGTGGGGTTTTGAAGTCCCCCACTATTATTGTGTGTAAATCTAAGTCTCTTTGTAGGTCTCTAAGAACTTTCTTCAGGAATCTGGGTGCTACTGTGTCGGGTGCATATAGATTCGAGATAGTTAGGTCTTCTTGTTCAATTAAACTGTTTACCATTATGTAATACCCTTTTTTGTCTGTTTTGAACTGTATTGGTTTAAAGTCTGTTTGGTCTGAAATTAAAATTGCAACTCCCACTTTTTCTGTTTTTTATTTGCTTGGTAGATTTTTCTTCATTAGGGAGATTCTTACACAGCATGAGGGTAGAAGCACGATAACACGTAAGCCAGTCAAAATAGAAAATGAATGCCACATCCAGAATTATGACGTCACAAGATCTCATACTAAGTGAATGTTATGACTGTTAGGGAGAAAAAAAAAATCTCCTTTGAAAAGGATTAATATTCAAATGCCTCCCTCCCAGCCTTGAATGGAAACTTACTCACTCACCAGGTTGTGTGAGTTGAAATGAGAAATAGTCTATTTGCACTGCTACTTACTGCCTTACCACTGAACACAAAGTTAAAGATACAGCAGCATTTCACATGTGATGGAATAAAGAGACAAGCTCATTCATTCTTAGCATCACCTGTGATCATCCTCAACCCATTAATAAACTCCTTCTAGAGCGTCAGCTAATTATCTTAAACTCATTTGCAAGAATACAACAAATGTATTTTCAGGAACAGAGAAGAGTCTAGGAACAGAGATCTATTTCATAAAGTCTTAGGATCTGGGCTTTAATTTTTTTTGAAAAGTGTAGTAAAATTTTAAACTCATTTGTAAATCTACCTAAATGTCTTTCCAGGGAATGAAGAGGATATCACGAACACAAGTCTATTTCAAAAGCCTTATACATTTTGCTTTCAATTCTTTTAAAACCATAGTAAATATAAATTGAAACTAGCAGGCTAAGTATAAAAATAACACAGCCACTCACATTTGGCATTTCTTCCTTTTTAACAGAAATAGCATATTTGAAGCATAAGGTCAAAATGTCTTCCTTTATTTAAAGAAAATGTCAAAGATAACAGTAATTTAGGGATCAACGGGTAAACAATGCATAGCAAATTACATCAGTAACTAGTTAAAAGCCCTATAAAAATAACTTATCCTGTATTTTTAAGTAATGGGATTCATCAAGAACTTCTAAGACATCAAAATGCTGATTCACAAAAAAAATTCTTTAAAAAGAACCAAATAAACATCTCCGCAGCCCCCACACCCAAATTAACTTCTTGTTTAGATTGAAAGGTTAAAGACATGGCAGGACACTCTTGATGAGTTCCAATGAAGGTCACAACCTCAAGGCCACAGTAAGCTCATAATGTTTGACCTAGGAATTCCTTCCTAAATAGTTTTATCTTCCTAAATCAAGGAAAAGGAATCATCCACAAGGTGTTAAATTCTTGGCCTTTTATGGAGAAGGGTAGCTTGGATAAATTCTGCATTCAGTTACTTTTACATTAAACGGGATTTACTGGGAAGGAATGAGAGAATTTGACCAGTGGGGAATAAAGTGAGTAATTTTTATACTGATTTAAACAATGCCAAGTACTTTATGACCGAATAGCTGAAGAACAGCATTGTATAGCTCCTTAATTACCCTCACTTTTTCTTCCATACTTGTTGGGCAAAAGGAGAAAACATTAGCTAATAATTCAGTTCACAAGAACAAATGTGATTGCGCTGACTCATTAGGGCTTGTGGCCAGATATGTGTGAATGCTGAGTGCCTTGAGTTAGAGATAGTTGAGAATGAAGGGAAACCAAGAATGGACATGTGATGAATTCACTGCGACTTTGTACATTTATTTTTCCCAGATTAAAACTACTGTGAATCAGTTTGTTTTAATGAAAAGCACAATAACATATGGAGAAATAAGATGGATTTTCTCTTACCTAGATTCGTTTGACCAATAAATTAGTTATTAATAGCCTGTTAGCATGATACTGTTATCTGAGGCACTATAAATAAGAATTATATAATAGATTCAGGAAGTTAAAATCTCAAATAGGTATTACTGTTGTGCCCTCAGTTTCAACAATAGTGCCTCACTTATAGTATGTGTTCAGGAAATACTTGTTAAGTGGGTTCTGTCGCAGAGGAAACAACAGCAATATTTCTCAATACATAGACATTTTAACAAGAGAGACAGAAAGCAGTAATATCTGGAAAAATCAAAGAATTCTTGCTAAGACTGTTATATGAAAACTTTTCAAAAATGAAATGGCTAATGATTCATCCCTATGAATCACTAAGCATATATAGTCCCTTCCAATGTCTTATCGGGTGCAACTGGAAACCCAATTAAGCTGAGAAACTAAGATGTCTCCTAGTGTTGTAGAGAGAGACTCTTGCTTATCTAAGAAGAAATACATAATATGGCATTCTGATACCTAAAAAGGTGAGGGAGAACAGACCTTTCTAGAAATCCAAAAAGTAATATCCAGTATTATCTGTGGTACCCTATACCTGTATTATTCTATTCATTGGGGTTCCTATGAATCACTGGACATATATAGTCCCTTGCAATGTCTTCTTGGGTGCAACTGGAAACCCAACTAAGCTGGGAAACTAAATATTATGCATGTCTACCGATAGCAAAACTGAGAGCAAAGCATATATTTAATTTGATATAGGATGAAGAAACAAAGCGATTTGTCAATGTGTTTTATAAAGTGTTTTGTTTATCTTGATGCATGGTAGATGCATCTAGGACCCACGTCTTTGTCTCTTAGGATGAAAAGATTGGTTGTATTATGCACAACAGAGCTACAAGTCAATCTGTCTCTCCACCACATAGCTCAACAAACCCATCCCATTAGGGCCAGTTGGACATCCACCAGAACACCCTATGCATCGCCATACATTATGCCAACTCCATACACTATGCCAAGAGGACCTCCATGTACCTGGAAATGAATTCTCCTCTACAATGGATATCTTTGACATAGCTTCCAGGTGGATTACCCTCAGCAGTGGTACTGAGGGAGAACTGGAAAGCCCTTCCTCTCTAGCTTCTGACTATAACCCTGGTTGGGACCAGGAATCTTTAGGGCAGAATTAAATAGGAATAGACACTTGGCCCCAAGCCAGATACATAAGTGCTGGATGTTCCTGGTTGATGTAGAATTAGTTGATAAACATAAAGAACATAGCCCTACCATGAACTCCGAGATCTTAATTTGGCTGTAGAGAGGAGATAATGGTATGCTATATTGTATTCCAAGCCCACTTGGGATACGAAGAAGGAAATTCTCCATGTCTACATATTTTAAATTCATCTGGAACAAGGCAATACCTAACTAAATAACTGACACTCTTAAGAAAACTGTACATGACTTGAAAAGGCTGATTTTTTTTTTTTTGCAACTGGGAAAGTATTACAAAGAATTTGTTAGTCTACATAAATAAGACTTAATATTAATAAAAGACATATTGTGTGCTAGACACTTTCCTGTGTTCTTTGTAGAGACCCATTGAATCATTACTATATCCCTACAAGATAGATACTGTCATATGCCTTCAGAAACTGAGACAGAGGCTAAATTTGCTCAAGGACATTATTAATTGATAAGGCCAAGATTTAAATCCAAATAGTAAGTTGCATACCTTTGCTCTTAACCATTAAGCTAAGTCATATTTCTAGATTATAATGTCTCCAAGGGATATCCCACAAAAGTATAGAAGAAGAAAACCACCTCAAACCAATGATGGTTGTGAGTTAAACCTCACATTTTGTGTAATTATAGTTGGTACATATGAAACATACTGTGTTTTGTTCAACTTGTGGTTGCAAATGTTTGGTTGGTTAAAGTATCATTTTTAACTCTGAGGGTTGATGATGCTTTTAGTTCTTGAAAAGAAATAGCATGTGTTGATTTGATAACAGTATTTATTCTATAAAATCTGTACCCAAATATATTGAGGAAGTCATTAAAAAAATATTCCTTCAAAACCAACTAGATAAAAGATGCAATAATCTCTAGTTTGCTCCATGCTTTCTAAAGCTAGCTTTCTAAACTCAGTGGCTTTAAAATCCCTTGGCCTGGTTCATCACCAGCTAGGTACCCAACTCCAAAACCAATTCTGGTCACAAGAAGGGGATTACAGCAAAAGTCTGATAAAAGATGTCCCCTGGCATTGCATAGAGATTGTTGCTAAGGGCTCCATTCTGTGGTTTTATCCGCTTCTCTGGTAACTGTTTCCTACCAAGCAAAACTCTTTATACTCTGCCTCTTTAGTGAATCACTATCCTGTCTTAAAGCTCCATCTCTGGTGAATGAAGCTCTTACTTATTCCTGTAGTTTCTTTATGATAAGGTTGCTGATATTTTATAGTTGCATCATTGTGCAAAGAGGACAGGAGTTAGAGTTAGAAGTACACTGTTGGTAGGAGTGTAAATTAGTTCAACCATTGTGGAAGACAGTGTGGCGATTCCTCAAGGATCTAGAACCAGAAATACCATTTGACCCAGTAATCCCATTACTGGGTATGTACCCAAAGGATTATAAATCATGCTACTAGAAAGACACATGCACACCTGTGTTTATTGCAGCACTGTTCACAATAGCAAATACTTGGAACCAACCCAAATGCCCATCAATGATAGACTGGATAAAGAAAATGTGGCACATATACACCACGGAATACTACGCATCCATAAAAAAGGATGAGTTCATGTCCTTTGCAGGGACATGGATGAAGCTGGAAACCATCATTCTCAGCAAACTAACATAGGAACAGAAAACCAAACACTACATGTTCTCACTCATAAGTGAGAGTTGAACAATGAGAACATGTGGACACAGGGAGGGGAACATCACACACTGGGGCCTGTCAGGGGGTGGGGGGCTAGGGGAGGGAAAGCATCAGGAGAAATACCTAATGCAGATGATGGGTTGATGGGTGCAGCAAACCACCATGGCATGTGTATACCTATGTAACAAACCTGCATGTTCTGCACATGAATCCCAGAACTTAAAGTATAATAATAAAAAAACAAGTCCTGGAACTAGCGCCTAGATTTGATAGTTGTTAGCTGAGTAAACTTTAGTGAGTTACTTAATCTCCCTTACTTTTAGTTCCTACACCTGCAAGATAGTAGTGCTCATAATAATGGACTTGGTAGCTTTGAGTAAACTACCAATACCTTCAGATTAGAAGTTACATCTGATGCATTTTTGTGTCCCTAGCAGCCAGTCCATAGTCAGTGTTCCTAAGTGAGTGTATGCTGTGTTCATACATGAGAGAATAAACAAATAATCTTCATCTTGGTGCTGTGGTTCTTCCTAAAACAAAGTTCCAGACTTTCTCAGTCTGGCATCTCCTGTTGGCTCCCAATTCTTGATTTACCCTGACATGCAAAGGTAAATCAGTATTGCTAAAAGTTTTTGGAGCTGGGTTCCATCTCACCAGGTAGTATGGAGAACTGAAGACCTGATCTGATATTTTCTGTTTGTTTAATTTTTTCTCCTGCATTATCCCCTACTTTTAAAACAAGCAAATCTCAAATCATCATCATAAAAATTAAATTCTGCTCTGATGGACAGCTTTGTTTCTTTTGCATTAAAGAGTCAGCCACCACTAAAACCTCTAAGGCAATCTTCTGGGCAAATGCTGATGGTTGTACTGAAATACATGAGCAAACAGGCTCGGAGATGGGCTGATGGTTTCCTTACTAGAGCCACATTGCATTATGAGTTGGCAGAAAGTTAGGTCAGATACAGCCAATACCTGGAAAAGTCACAGAAGCATCCAAATACTGTTGTATATAGCAGAAAACCAAAGTCTGGAACTGAATTCCCCCCATACTATGCACTCCAACAACACACAGTTGGAGAAGGAGACAGCAGCCCTCATTACGCTTGCGAGTGCATCCTCGGGAAACATGGCACCAATGTAGCATCAAAACAGAGATGAAAATCCATGTCTCCTAAGCTGGCGTGTCCATGCAATTACCTTAATGCATCCCAGATTTGAACCCATCATTGATGTTCCCATTAGTTACTGGACCGATTCCACTAGCACCACCAAAGCACCATTCTCCAAGTCAAATGGCAGTGTCAAATCTCCACCAGCAGGCCTTGGAGTGTGTCCAGCTTTCAGATGTTGAAGCAAATCTAATCAAATGACAGCACTTTGGGGAAATGGTTTGTCAGCAGAATGGATGAAAAGGCAATTCTACAAGATTTTATGATAATCTACAGAGGGTAAAAAGGACAGAAAGTGATAGAGCAAGATATTGCAACTCCAGCAAATACTTACTGAGCCACTGCATGTGTCTGTCATTGTTCTCAGCGATACTGGGCTTCAAAACATGACAGTGCACAACCTTTGCCTTCAAGGAGACTGCAACATAGAAGGGAACTGCTTCTAGAGAAGGTGAAGAGGAAGGACCACTTAAGAACTTTGAGGTTAAAAGAACTAGATGAAAATCACAGCTCTGACTCTTACTTGCTTAAGTTATGAGGCAAATTATTTAAATTTCTAAGCGTCTGCTTCCTCCTCTATGTAATAATAATAATAATAATAATAATAATAACAACATACTCTTTAGTAGACAGAAAAGGGAAAACTTGTTTGCTATATGGATTACAAATAAAACTGGGTTAAGCGAACTCCAAATGGATGGGTAGAGTAAATGTATAGTTAATAGCAAATTGTAACCTTAGAAGAAAAAAAGTAAGAGACTATCTTTATGATCAAGAGTGCACATCCTGCACATGTACTCCGGAACTTAAAATAAACGAATACAGAAGAAAGTTTTTTCAACATAACTCCAAAAAAACATAAACCACAAGGTGAAAATGTTATGACAACATTGCAATTAAGGGTATCAATTTAATAAGAGTCAACAAAGAAAAATTGGCAGATGAGTAATTAAAAAAAGGTACTGAATAGGCAGATGACAGATTGAGATAAGATATTGGCAAAATTGGACATCATTAAGGTACAAATACCTAGAATTCACTAGAAAGGTCCACATATTAACAAGAAAAATACAGAAAGCTCAATAGAAAGCAGACAAAATATGTGAACAAACTACTCTCAGAAGGAGAAACCTCAGTGGCAGTAAGTATTGAAAGAACACTCAAATATATTTGTAATTAGAGAAAGTAAATTAAAACAATGAGCCATCATTTGAAATGCATCATATTGTCAAAAATTAGAAAACTGGATCATGCTACATGTAGGAGAGTATGTGAGAAAACAGGATCCTCATGCACCATCGGTGGGTGAAAGGCTCATTTAGCTATTCAGCAACTGCTTAGTCAAGTAAAGCACAACTGTACATGGTGACCCAGCAATCCCACTCCTAGGTGTATTTCCCAGAGAAATTCTCATATAGGACCCTGAAGGGATATATTGACTTCAATGTTGTTTCTGCTAGTGGAATTGGAAGTTATCCACCCTCCTCCACTGAAAAGCGTGAATGGACACAATGAAACAGTGCACAGATATTAGAATGTATTAGAATATTACACTCATTATATTAGCTATCAGAATATTACATGAATCAACATGGAGACATCTTTTTTTTTTTTTTTTTTTTTGGAGATGGTCTTTTGCTCTTGTTGCCCAGGCTGGAGTGCAATGGCACGATCTCGGCTGACTGCAACCTCTGCCTCCTGGGTTCAAGGGATTCTCCTGCCTCAGCCTCCCAAGTAGCTGGAATTACAGGTGCCCACCACTGTGTCTGGCTAATTTTTTGTATTTTTACTAGAGACGGGGTTTCACCATGTTGGCCAGGCTGGTATCAAACTACTAACCTCAGGTGATCCATCCACCTTGGCCTCCCAAAGTGTTTGGATCACAGGTGTGAGCCACCCTGCTCAGCCAACATGGAGATATCTTAAAGGCATAGGGTTGAAGACATGAGAAACAGAATGATATCTACAGTTGAATGCCTTTCATGTAAACCCATATGAAACAACAGTACCTCCTTTTAATAAGTACCTCCTTTTAATAATGACCCAAAACTCAAGAACACAAACATGTTGTGATGGTTACATACCCATTTTATTTATCTTTGTATCTCTAGAGCCTAGCAGAATGGTTGGTGCCCGATAAATATTTGCTGAGCAAATCCATAATTCAATGCAGAGAACAAAGATAGGGGACATTCAAAGAGATTCCAAACCTTTGAGTGGATGGGACAGCAGATATCATTTGCAAATAAGACGTGTTTCTCAGAACAGGGGACAGATCCAGTTGATGGGGAAGGTCTGCACGTTCAGCTCCATATCTTTTGACTTTGAGGTACAGATAAAGAGCCAGTAGTCCACCTAAGTCTAGTACTCAGGAAGAATTTAGAATTGGGTCTCAGCTGCCAATAGATGATAGTTTTAGAAGTAAAAGGAAGAGAATAAAGTAGCAGGTAGAGGGGCAGTGGGACCAATGGTAATGCTGGCATAATATTAAAACAGTACAAGAAGGGAATGACGTGTGGTTAAAGGACATAAGAACTGATCAGTAGAGGGGAAAAGATTATTTAATCTTATCTGTGGATGGAGGGGTGAGTTGAAGTGATATGAGAGGGATACAGTAGTAACCTCTTACTACTGTATATACACTCCTAAATAACCCAAGCCATTTGTTTCAAAGTGCTTGCCCTATTGTTTGTTTTAACTATTGAGGAGCAAAATAAAAATTGGCATATTTGGGAAAAGAAAGGGAGAATGAGCAGAAAGGTCAGAAATCAAATTAAAAATAAGAATAACAATCTCTATCCCCAAATCCATAGATGGAATTATCTAGAGGAGACTTCTGAGGCCTGATAAATCCCCAAACAACTTTAATTTAAAATACCCTGAGAACTGCTGTTCTTATGTTATTCCCTAGGTTCCAATCTGCTATCAGCCACAATCAGAAAGGTACCCAAGATAAAGATAAATTTAAGATTTACTATTATTGAGCCCAATTCTCCTGTTCTAGCTCCACAGGGTGCAACAAATGTTTCTCCCAAAGTAGCAAAAAGAAAAAAAAAGAAACTCTTCCACCTGTGCTCTTGTAGGAGACCCCACATTTCAGAAAGCCTCAGCTAAATTCATAGCTTCGTTCCCAGACAGGTTTATCCCACATGACATATTGGCCACGTCAAAGAACTGCACCTCTCAGACACTTAGAATTCATGCCTACTAAATACTCCTAACAGGCTATCTGCTGGATTTAAGATTATTATTAAGGTGGTCATCCCAATAATTTAGCCACGAAAAGGTTTGAAGAAAAGAGATGTTTGGCTAGAGATGTTACGCTAGAGATGTTACGCGGAAAGAATATATGTGCTTAGGAACTGATTTGATTTGGGGGGAACGTTGTGATCTCAAATTCAAGAATGTGTGAAGGAGAACAATAATTTACTGATAGAAAGTATGACAGACTGAAGGAAGAGGAAAAGAACTCATTGTTATTTAGAAAATGGGTTGATGGCAGATGTCCCCTTGTTATAGTCAGACAAACAGAAAGGTTCATGCTTTGCCCAAATTCATGTGCATTGAAACATTTGTAGAATTTTATGAACTATCATCAAATAATAGGAAACTATGAAGAAGCACACATATCAGTTCCTGTCTACATGAGAGAAGCTTTACAATCGTTGTAAAACTAATGCTAGACTTATAATGAATGGGCTAGGAAGATGAACTCATCTTGCTTCAAATTCCAGCCATAGTCTGTACAGGGATGTGAGAAAGAAGTACTACCTAAGAGTGTTTCTGGCCAGGTGCGGTGGCTCACGCCTGTAATCCCAGCACTTTGGGAGGCCGAGGCGGGAGGATCACGAGGTCAGGAGATCAAGACTATCCTGGCTAACACGGTGAAACCCTGGCTCTACTAAAAATAGAAAAAATTAGCCGGGTGTGGTGGCGGGCGCCTGTAGTCCCAGCTACTCGGGAGGCTGAGGCAGGAGAATGGCCTGAACCCGGGAGGCGGAGCTTGCAGTGAGTCGAGATCACGCCACTGCACTCCAGCCTGGGCGACAGAGGGAGACTCCATCTCAAAAAAAAAAAAAAAAAAGAGTGTTTCTGAGCATCAGGTAATAAAAAGCTCTAATGTCACATCTGAGTTTCACTGTAGCTAAAAAAATGGACATCATTGGGTGGATGGCCCTCTAATGGGCTGTATCTTTCAAGCACTGGGGGATCCTGGAATTAAATGGAAAAGAAGAAGATGAACAGTCACTTACGGGAACTGGCGTTGTCATGCCCCTTACTACAAACCATTGATATGCCCAGTACTGCAAACCACTAGTATACCTGAGGAGAGAGAATCAATAAAGATGATACTGTGATTAGAAAAAAAATTTTATTTTAACTATGATGATAGCCTGGGTTTTTTTCTGAGAATTTTAAGTTGTCTGTGAGATTAATGTATACATGTGCATGTAACGTATTCCATGTGGTTTTGATACAACAGTCACTCGCTGAACATCAGGGAAAAGAAGAGACAAAGCTGTACTTCAGCTGACAGAAGAGGAATGCAGTTTGAAGATAAAAATGCACAACAGACTCTGGTTTCATTCTACACCCACTAAAGCCATCTTTGAGTAACTTTCTGCTGAGGTCTATATGGGCCTGTAAATTAGTCAAGTGGGGATCGTAGGATAAAACCCTATAGGTAGAGGGTGGAGAGTAAAAATGGACACTACGAAGGTTGATGACAGGCCTGACTGCACTAGCACAGATTTATGACAGGCCAGTAAAGAGAAAAGGGGTGGGGCCCGACCCACAGCATTCATCTACTGAGGTCAGCACAGAAGTAGCACAATTGAGAAAAGCAGGGATTCCAAAGGTCCCCGTGGTAATCAGCAGTCGCAGAGTACATGGGATCCAAGGGGAGCTGGTAGGCTCCAATAGGAGCATGTTGACTTGGGGGAAAAAAAAAAACATCTCCATAGATGGAAATTCAGGAGGAGAAGTGAAAGGACACCTGTTTTACCAAGACATAAGAGGGTGAAATGGCTTTTGAGTATATATGTTAGGGGGGAAAGGATAAAGACACTGATGGTTGATTTGTTCCCTTTTAGTGCAACATACACTTGAACATTTTTTTTTGAGACAGAGTCTTGCTCTGTAGCCCAGGCTAGAGTGCAGTGGCAGGATCTCGGCTCACTGCAACCTCTGCCTCCCGGGTTCAAGCAATTCTCTTGCCTCGGCCTCCCGAGTACCTGGGATTACAGGTGCCCGCCACCACGCCCAGCTAATTTTTGTATTTTTAGTAGAGACGGGATTTCACCATCTTGGCCAGGCTGGTCTCAAACTCCTGTCCTCATGATCCACCCGCTTTGGCCTCCCAAAGTGCTGTGATTACAGGCATGAGCCACTGCGCCCGGCCCACACTTGAACATTCTTGAACGATATACCCTGACACCTTTGGAATTTTCCCAATTTAAAATTACTTTCACAGCAAATTATATCACTTCCATAGATGTATTGTAGATATTAGCAACTTCATCTGGATGTTTTGAACATTAAATAAGATGATGTATCCTATAGGTATAGACATGGCAGTCTGAACAGGCTACGTCATCACTAGCTAAGAGATCTCTTCCATATGTTAGCCCCACTGCAAGCAATTTTTAAAATAGTTTACCAAAAAAATCATAAATTTTGAGTGACCGTAGGCTTTCAAGGCTGATTATGGTATTAATTAAGGTAGGCTGGGTTATGTTATGGTAACAACTCCCACATTTCAATGACTTCACACAATATACGATATTCTTGTTCATGCAAAGTTTGCTACAGGATAGTTGCTCCAGAGTGGCTCTCTTCCATAGGAAGACTCAGTAATCTAAGCAACTTTGATCTGTTCATCCTGCAATCTCAATACAGGCCTCTTCCATAACCACTAGCTAGAGGAAAGGAGAGAGGGGATGTCACACTGGTGATTAAATGCTTTGAGCAGGAAGGACACACATCTCTTTCTGTTCTTAATCAATTGGCCAGAGGAATTCAGACCAACTACAAAGGGAATAGGTAGTCTTCCATGTGTCTGGCAATAAAACAGAATATTGGAGAGCAGAGTAATCCATAATCTATCAAATCCATAAACAGGCTAAACCATGGTAATATTCAGCCCATCAATGAAAATAGTACACACTGCTTGTTCTTCCGACTCCTAAAAGGTGAAAGCTATGTTCATTCTTATCCTTGAATCCTTCCCAAGCATTTGTGCAGAGCTGTGTATTGAGAGTACTAAGTTTCTAGCCACTGTAGGCAGTGACTAGATAAGAAGGTAATGAGGAATACTGAAATTGAGATGTAATTGATCTAATGATATTTAACAAATCTTTACATCTTGAGATAGACAAATGCATAAATAAGTTATTTGGATACATAAATAGGATAAATAAATATAGGCATAAATAGATTAGTTTTTGACCTGAGATTTTAGCGAGTCAAACTGATAATAATAATTTAAAACACAGAATCACAGATTTTACTAATAGGAAGAATTTTTTCACTGTCAAAATTTCCCAAAACAAATTGGATGGCCTTGAAAAATAGGAAGTAGTCCACCCTTAAAGTAGCCACATAGATTCTATGACAACTCAACAGGAAGCTGCCAATGAAAATCAAATTTTAGGTCAGCAGCAACATGGCAGAAAGGAGCGGCAGACAGATGGACCATAATGCTAGGTGCCTTTAGAGTATATTCTTGAAATATTTCTGTAAAAGCTCATACCATGCAAATATTTAAAAGCAAAAAGTTCATAAAACCTTAAATTACCTTATCTTTATTATTTGTTCTACATTATACAAGAATTCCGTTTTTAAAGTAGAAATAAATTTAAGATAAATCTGCATTGATATCAGTTGCTTTTCTTCTTAGGAATTTTCTAAGCACTTGGCATCTTTCCAATAAGATACACTAGGTTAACACACCATTGCTGTATATTTAAGAAACTTTTATGTACCATCAGCGTATTTAAGATCCTTCCATTCCTGTTCGTATTTGGAGAGATGAGGGTGTAACTTCCATATGCT